>NW_003315907.2:183290-366580 GCF_000001405.40 Homo sapiens
TTTGAAGTCACATTTAATCAGCTTATAAAGTACTTAATTTGTATTGCGTAATTAAATACCTGGTGTAACTGGGATAAACCGATTTTCGAACAAGCACAACTCTTGTATGATCCCTCCAGACAAAAAGATACAAGGTGGCTTAACAGGAAGAAGTCCTAGAGAGGAAAAAGCCTTTGGGAATAACCCAAAATGGAGACTTAGAATGAATTTCATCCTCTCCTGACCCTCAAAAAATTACTCTCTCAGTGAAAAGGAGGGATAGAAAAATCTACCCAGAAGCAGAGAAAGATGACAAAGAAGAAGCTTCTCATCTCAATCTGGACTCTGGATGGAAAAAAAAAAAAAAGAAGTAATCACAGTCCCAAACTTATGTGGGTTTGAACTGCCACAGCCTCTGCAGAGATAAAACCATACTGAACACACTTTTACAATCTAAATTGCAAAACAAATGAGAAAGTAAAGTTGAGGAGAGGTAGATAGTGTAGCAGTAGATAGAGGTAAAAGCCTGGCTGGAGAATTTGAACTTTATTATATATCCAATGGATTATTATCATACAAATGGTTTACTTGCTATAAGAGTTATTCCTTTGTTTTAATCAAAGCTGATTCCTAATGTGACTTTTCACTTACAAACTCAAACATTGAAGGATAATAACACTTTAAAAAATTCTATTATAGCCAAGATTTTGAATTTATTCTTTAAATGTTTTGTATTACTGAGCATCAATGGGACAAGCTTTTCTCCTTCTATTCACTAATAAAATATCAGCTAGGTTCCAGAAACTGGGTATGATACTTTACAATTATGCATATTTCCATATTTAACTAATTTGATTCTTACATAGGTGTTATTATTACAAAGCACAGCAATTTTATCAGTAAAGAAACTAAAGCCCCTATAAAATAAGCAAGACGAGTGGTCAGGGAACTGTGGCTCAGAAAACCTGAGTGACAGGCCCAAGGTCAGGTGGCTTCTGAGTAGAAGAATTGTTCTCATGGTCAGTGTTCTTGCTGCTGAACAATGCTCTCTTTCTTTCCAGGAAAATTTTCTTCCAGGTTTCTCTTCTTTTCCTAATAAAAAATATGGAAGAAAACAAAGAATACCAATTGACATTTCACTCTGTGTAAAATTATTAAATATATGAATCAATTTAAATGCTGTGTGCTTGAATAATTAATAGGAAAAATATCAAAACAAAGTGAAATTTGACTTAATCTAAGTCTCCTTGATTGGAATTAACATTTTAAACACCTAGCGTTTTTCCTATACCATTTATTTGGTACTACTTGTTCTGGCCTTACTATTTATTATATTCTACTTTATTTTGTATATTTATATACCTAGAAGTAAAAAAAAAATAAGATTTCCTTCTAATTTGAGCACTTATACGTCACTTTTTATTTCTAAGTTAATTAAATGGCAATGTTGATGGTTTCTATGTGTTAGTATATAAGAAACACAATTTATCAGTATTATTACTTATTGTATATTATTGGTGTTATTTTATTATTATTTAAGTTTCAGTGATAAACTGAGAATTAAGTTATATATTTTTATAAAAATCTCACAATGTACAAAGGATTTGTTTTATCAGATAAGATAGAGAAATGGATGTTAGTCACAGTAGCTTTATAAAAAGGAAGTGTAAGAATCAGTATAGTGTATATTTAGGTCACTGCTCTTTGATTCTCTTTCCTAAATTATTTCATATTTCATTTTTATCAGTGAAAATGTAAAAATGTTACTAACAATGATAAAACCTTGAGAAACAAAATCTGTGCCATTTGGAAAAATTTTGAATGTTGAATGTTAAAAGATCACAGTGAAATATACCTCTTATTTTTGTGTGTCCTTAACTTGACAACTTATCCTCGAGTGTTTTGAATAGCTGTAATTATAAATTTAGCATGTGTTCAGTGTATACTTTTCTGGTTTCTAAGTTTCATTTCTGCTCAGACTTCCTCTTATTATCTATTCTGTCATTGTTCCTGTATATTTCAGCTCATCATATGATCCTTCCTTCTTTTGCTCACGTTGGTTTAGCATTTGAGTCTGAATAGTAGGGAAAAGTAGATTAAATACTGGTTTTCTGGAGGCCTGGAACTTCTGGGTATCTCAAAACTACAAACTTCAACCTTTAAACAAAACCCTAAGACTTGGTCTGGGTGTGTCTACTGAGCATGGTATTCTTCTTCACTTCACTTACTCATTTTAGCTGAGCAGTAATGCATAAAAGAAATATACATTAAATATTGAACATTTTAAATTTTCTTATACATAAAATAAATATACATCAAATATTGAACATTTATTTTCTTTCATTTCCATTTTAAATGAAGAAATAAATCTCCTTATTTTTGCCTCTCATCCTCTGATTTTCTCCCTCTTTTCCTCCAGCCATTCACTATACTATTTATTCTCTTTAATATCAGAAACTTGTGTCTATGCCTTTATTCAGACACTTCCTTATCTCTGGAACACCTGTCTGATTCTTGCTTGCCTAGAAAATAAATCATTCAAAATCCATTTCCAATGCCTACTTTAAAGGATGAAACTCTCTGGATCCTCTCAGACCTGATGGATTCCTTATCTTATACATCTCAAAACCTTTTATGTATATCTGTCATAGGGCATTTCTCAAGCATCACTTGTGCCTTTTTACTCACAAACTACGAGTTCTTTGAGGATAAATATTGTGCTTTGCTTGTGGTTGTCCCTGGAACAGTGCTTTGCACATAGTGGGCAACAAATCATTTTTTAAAATTACATTGATTCTTTCAGCTGAAGGACAACAAAGAACTCCATTTGCCGTGAGAAACTTAAATGAGGATTCTGCTATATCTCAAACTGTCATTTTGAAAAGCAAGGCACTTCTTCTGTCTAAGAACAGGGATGTATTTAGCAATTAGTGTGGTACAAAAATAATAACAGTGAAAATATTTTAGTTAAATATAGTAGCTGCTTAGAGATGAAAGAAAATATTTCTAGCTATTCTGAGGTTATGCAGCTTATTTTCTAGATAGATCCTACCATTGTCTGTTCCCATTATTGGGTTATGCAGACTTCCATTTTTCTTATACTTTTCTTGAAGAACACATTGCATCTTCATTCAGTGTATTTTTTCTCAGTACCTGCAAAACCTACCACTCATTTATGCATTCTACAAAAAGTTTTAAATACCTAAAATATGCTGGATAACTAGTAATTATGAACTTGGTTAAGACTTCCCATCATTGCCTTCAACTTGAAGTGTTATAAAATAACTGTAATGAAATGTACACTATAGGGATTACAAGAGGCATTCCAAATGTAATAGAAATGTTGGACTGGGATTGCGGGCATGATTGCACCTGGCTGATTTTTGTGTTTTTGGTGGAGATGGGGTTTTACCGTGTTGGCTGGCCTTGTCTCAAGCTCCTGACTTCAGGTGGTCTGCCCGCCTCGGCCTCCTGGGGTGCTGGGATTGCAGGTGTGAGCCACCATGCGCAGCCAATTCATTCCTTTTTAGTGGCTGTGTAGTATTCCATCATATATATATACACACACGCACACACACACACACATACCTACACACACACACACATACACACCACACCAACTATTCTCTGTTATGGATGGTTATTTCATTTGACTATTTCAGTTTCTTTGGGGTTGATTCTGGAAAGAAATTGCTGAAAAGTCATATAAATTGTGTGTTTTAATGTCACATTGCCTTTCCAAAATGCTATACGAATATATACTCCTACCAGCATGTAAAAAGAAAAGAAAAGAAACGTTGGACTGTGCAAGTGATAGAGAGATTCCACTTCAACTGACAATATTTCCTCATTATTTTCATAAAGTGAGAGAATTCTGTCACTTTAGGTGCTAGTTTTGTGTTTCTTTTATAGTAATTAATGGCTTCCTCGTCTCTGATGAATACTAATATTGCTTTTTGGGATATGGATTCTATGAGAAATCTGTATAGATCTATCCTAAGGAAGTTGTTCAGAGATTTTCGTCTAATTGCATACCTTTTTTTTCTACTCCCTGTTCTACCAAATTTGCTACAAAAAGTTCCACTGAGGTTTCTGGGTATTTATTCAAGAGAATGGATATGTAATCCTAGACATACAATGTTGTTTTGAAGGGTAGTCATGAGCATCTCTGGAGTTTCTGTTATTCCATATAATGTGTCCACTTCTTTTTTTTTTTTTTTATTATACTTTAAGTTTTAGGGTACATGTGCACATTGTGCAGGTTAGTTACATATGTATACATGTGCCATGCTGGTGCGCTGCACCCATTAACTCGTCATCTAGCATTAGGTATATCTCCCAATGCTATCCCTCCCCCCTCCCCCCACCCCACCACAGTCCCCAGAGTGTGATATTCCCCTTCCTGTGTCCATGTGATCTCATTGTTCAATTCCCACCTGTGAGTGAGAATATGCGGTGTTTGGTTTTTTGTTCTTGCGATAGTTTACTGAGAATGATGGTTTCCAGTTTCATCCATGTCCCTACAAAGGACATGAACTCATCATTTTTTATGGCTGCATAGTATTCCATGGTGTATATGTGCCACATTTTCTTAATCCAGTCTATCATTGTTGGACATTTGGGTTGGTTCCAAGTCTTTGCTATTGTGAATAATGCCGCAATAAACATACGTGTGCATGTGTCCACTTCTAGTTGATTCACTTGCAAGGCTTCTTTCACATACATTGCAGAACACCAACATATTTTATTTTCCTTCTACTTCTCTGGCTGCTCCTATTCAGTCTACTTTTCTGGTTCTTCATAATTATCTTGTGTGTGGCAAATTTTGAAGTTGCCCAGGATGTAGTCTATGGATCACTCCCATTTTTAATCTAAATTTACTCCCTCAGTAATCTCATCCTGGCTCAAGGGTTCCAATGCAACCTACGTGCTGATGATTCACAAATTAAATCTCCATTTTGTACCTCTGCCCTGAATGTCAGATTCATATCCACCTGGAGATGTGAAAGGCATCTTGAACTTTCCCAGTCTCAATTCCTGAACACCAACACATTGGTTCATCTCACGGTTTTCCCCAATTTCAGGAAATAGTAGCTGCATTCATACACTTGTTCAAAGTGAAAACCTTAAAGTTATTCTGTTTCTTATTCCTTATAGCCAATCTTTCAGAAAATCCTGTTGACTTTTCCTTCAAAATAAATTCAGAATTTTATTTCTCACCATCTTCTTGTTACCACCCTGGTCAAAGCTACTATCATCTCTTGAGTAGATGATTTTCCATAGTTTTCTAACCCGTGTTCTATTTTAATTCTTGTTCTAGTTTAATCTTTTTTCATTGTAGCAGTGAGGATACTCTTTTTAAAACAGTCAAAACAATGTCACTCCTCTGTTCAAGTCTTATCATGATTGCCCAGGCCACTTATGGTAACAGCCAGGTAGATCCTTACCAAGGCATCAAAGGTTGCCACTGTTCATTCCACTCAAGTCACTCTGGCTCCTGGCTCTTTTTCCAACACACCCGGCACACTACTGCCTCAAAACTTGTGGACTTCTCTCTGGCGGCAATGCTTTTCTCTAATATCAACGCAGCCTGTTTCCTCCCCTGCACTGTGTCCTAACTCAGAGAGGGCATCTCTGACCATCTCATGCATGAGGATAATACTTTAACCTCATTTGTGAAATGTTACAGACAAAACTGTATGTATGTCAAGGTATGTTATGAAGATTAAATTGGATCAAATATGAAAAATATTATATATTATATAGTAAATATAAGTTGTAGGTGCTTAATTGATGTTAGCTATTGTTAGACATTATATAAAGCTGAGATCATACCAGAAATGATTATGTAATCTTCTTGTATTTTATATGGCACCAATTCCTGAGTAATTTTTTTCTATTACCCTCTGAATTGTGCAGTTGTTTTTCCCTTAAGTCAATGACCTATAGTCTAAAATCATTTGTGATGTTACATTCTGTTAAACAGAAGAAAATTCCTACTGGGCCAGTAAAGATTTTTCCTGTTAAACACTTCATTTTTTCATATTGACCATGTAACTATCTGATCAGTTCTTGCTAGAAGGCTGTGAGGGGCACCACCAAAAACTTTAACCTCTTTTTTTTTTTTTTTTGGTTTAGAATGCTTTTACTTTGTCTATGATTAAAAGACAGCAAAAGCATAAATCAGTCAAGATAAATCTGTGTTAAAGGGCACACAGTGTGTAAAGATGCATTCTGTGACAATAACTATGTAAAGGGGAAGGCATGGAGATGTATGGGAGCAGGATGTTTGCAACTGAAACTAAGTTGGTATTGGTTAAACTAGGTTGTCATAAGTTTAAGATATTAATTTTAATCCCTAAGGTAACAACTAAGAAAATAACTAAAAATTATATAGAAATGAGAAATAAAAAAGGTCTGAAATGGATGAAGTGAAGAACAAATAACATAAAACATACAGAAAATATATAGATAAATAGCAGAAGTCTGTCCCTCCTTCTCAGTAATTACTTTAAATGTAAATGTATTAAAATCCTCCAATTAAAAGGTAGGTGTTGCAGAAAAGATAAACAACATGATCTATCTATATGCTATATGCTGTCTACTGGAGACTTGCTCTAGATCTATAGACCAAAAAAGGTTGAAAGTAAAATGATAGAATAAGCTATTCCATGCAAGTGGTAACAAAAAGAGAACCAGAGTGACTTAATATTATTGGATCAAAGAGATTTTAAGGAAAAAAGGTTACGGGAGATAAAGAAGGACACTATATATATTGATAAGTAATATAATCCATAAGGAATATATAACAATTATTAACACATGAATATCTAATAATAGATGCCAAAACATGTGAAGCAAAATTGACAAAACTAAAGGGAGAAATAGAGTTTACAGTCATACCTAGGTACTTCAATACCTCACTTTCAATAATGGATATAACAACGAGCAGAAGATCAATGAGGAAATAGAAGACTTGAACAACACCATAAATCAATTGATTATATGAAATATATACAAAACACTCTACATAACAACAGAAAAATATGTATTCTCAAGTTCATATGAAACCTTTTTCAGGATAAACCATATGTTAGGCCTTAATCATTGCCAGTATAATTATAAACACAATCCTCTAACAAATATGGCTCTCATGCTTTCAGGCCCAGTTATCTCTTTAATCAGGCAAATAAACAGAAAACACTACAAGTCTGGATCCAGTTATCACAGGAGAGGTTTCTTTTTGAAGATTCTACTGAGATAATCATTACTGTGGTGCATCATGGTGAAAAGGCACTTATGTTGGATTCACTTTGGGTTTAGGATTTGACTACATTGCACTGTAGACACATAACCTCCAAAATGTTGCTTACTTTGTCTTGAGCCTGTTTCTTCATCTTCATTGGTTATAGTTATACCTACCTTTTTAAATTTTTTGTCAGTATCAAAGATAATAAATAAAACATGTCTATTGCAATAACTGGAATAGTGAAAATTCCCAATAAATGGTAGTTATTAATGCCAGTTTTTGGAGTGGTGGAAGTGAAGAAACTAATAGGAGCAGCTATAGGTAGTCTTACTGATAGTCCTGGGGTCAACTTACAACCTATGAAGCCATATTAGGTTCTGAAGTCTATAGCTTGCCTATGTGAAGATACAAGTGAAAACCCTTAGCAGCTCTGTAAAGTCTGATTTACCTCTATTTGCTTATAAAAATCTGTATGCAGTAATTTTATGCGTTTTAAAGTTTGAGAACAACTTACACAGACTGAAGAAACAAATTCGGCCCTTCAGGCTTTCAGACAACTATCAATGCCTTAAGAAGTTTAAGAATAAAGGATCTATAGATTTTCTCAGAAAAATACTGGATATTCTGCAGTTAGTTTGGATTGTTTCTACCTACATGGTAGGGGTGGTTGGAGGTGAGCCATGGTATCCAAATTTTTTTGTGGTTGTCCATCATAATTAGCTACTGGAGTTATCTTCTCCCTGCTTTTTTACTACCTCTCTCAAAGCTAAGAACTCAGAGCATAAGCTTGAAATAGAATCTGAAACTGCATAAACTCAGAGATGGTTCCTATAGGTAAAGTGAAATTGAGACATCCCAGTGCCAGAATCATTGTTAAGGTATCATTGAAGCAGTCCACTGGGCACCATGCCCTTGAACTGGAGAAAAAGCTGCTCCTTGGTGACTTAGGTCATCAAGTGAGACCTAAGTCTCACACCCTGGTGAGAAGAGGGTGTTTTCCAGATTGTCTTTATAGAGAACTGAGATTGCTTGACTATGACCTTCTTTCCATAACCTCCCTCACTAGAAACTCTTTCAGGGAGGGAAGGAGGGGGTAGTGTTCCTCTTTCCTTTCACCCTTCCCCCAGGCTACCCTTTTATGAGCCTTTATATCTTTTAGGACAGCTCAAAATTCTCCCTTAACCTAGTTATTTTTTATGGGTATATGGGAAAGGGAAAGAGGGAACATTCAGTTGAACTACCCATTGATGACCCTGGAGAATATTCAGGAAATGTCAATAAAAGGGAGATAAGGTATCAAAGAGAAGGTGCTAAGAGCCAGACCTAGTGCAGCCTTTCCCTGGGATAAGCCCTGTCCTCATATACTCTTTCTATGTTCTGGGATTCTTTCTGTTTTGTGACTTTAGCCTCAAAGATGCCACCTCCTCATGGCCAAAGAACACCTCATAGCAGTGGATGTAAGAAAGCATACTAGGGCCAGGCACGGTGGCTCATGCCTGTAATCCCAGCACTCTAGGTGGCCGAGGCCAGGGGGATCACGAGGTCAAGAGATCGAGACCATCCTGGCCAACAAGGTGAACCCCATCTCTACTACAAATACAAAAATTAGCTAGGTTTGGTGGCGTGTGCCTGCAGTCCCAGCTACTCGGGAGGCTGAGGCAGGAGAATCGCTTGAACCGGGGAGGTGGAGGTTGCAGCGAGCCAAGATCTCGCCACTGCACTCCAGCCTGGTGACAGGGTGAGACTCCGTCTAATTAAAAAAAAGAAGAAAAAAAGCATACTAGGAGAACGGAGAACATTCAGAGCCACTTTAAGCTCAAGAGAGTCTGCTTCAGGAGCTCAAACAAAAAGGCTGGTAGAAGAACAGCCTGGAGCAGGGGGGGCTGCACATCCAAGCAGATGGAAATGGGTAGTAGTGGGAGAAGGAGGAGGAAGGGAACCTGACGTTGCAGAGTGAAATGATGGTATGTGGTGAAATGTCGGCGGCCAGAGCAGGGCTGGGCTCATCTGTGTGAACCTAGTTCCCAGTCTTGTCAAAGGCAGGCAATCGTTAATTATCAGCTTGTGCTTATGATGCACCTTCTGAAGTCAAGATAGACATAAATATGTGCATTTTTATTCAGACCTGATGTGTATTTGTATAACAAATGTCCACTATGTCAATAAGCAACAGTCATCATCTTAAAGCTTGAGATTGATTAATGTCAGGCACACACATACAAAAATGCTCATGCTCCAAGGCTGTGTTATACAAGATAGTAGCTGCTAGTAACATCTGCATACTGAGCTCCTGAAATGCAGCTGGCTGGTGCAAAATTACATGTTCTATAAGGTGTAAAGAGACACTGAATTTTTAAAATGTAGCATGCATAGAAGAATGTAAAAATATCTCATTAATTTTTTAAATTAGTTACATGTTGAAATACTAATATGTTAGATACGTTAGGCTAAATAAATGAATTGTAAATCAGTTCAACCCTTCAATTTATTTGTTTAGTATGACTACTATTAAGTTTAAAATCACATATGTGGCCCGTACTGTATATGTCTTGGACAGTTCTGCTCTTAAGCCTGATTCTGCCATTTATCCTGCATCTTTGTGGAAGTGACTTAACTTCTCTGTATCTATGATTCCTGAACTTTAAAGTAATTGAGTTGTGAAGATGAAATTATTTGACATATGAAAAGCACTTAGAAAAATATATGGAATATAAGACATTTAGCTATTATCTATCTATCTTTCTAGCCGCCTGTCCATCTAGCCATATAATTAACAGCTGTAGCAAATATTGTATATTACAGTAGCATCAAAGTGACATACAAAAATATTGGCTATGATAAAGTGTTCTTATCAGGGGTTTTTTTCTTCCTTTCTTTATTTAGAAAAAAACATTTCAGTGAACTACGGTTACAAACCAGAGACAAACCTTAAGAAAATAGTTGAATAAAGATGTGTTTCTGTACTTCTAGCCAACTCTTGTAACTATGAAAAACTTCTGAAGTGTTTTGCTGACAGTTGAAATAATAATTTAATATTTTTAGAGAACAATATCATAATCTTTTAGAATTCTGAACTCCCATAAAGCATCTTTATTTTTTGACTGCCAAGGCAAGAAATGCACAATGCAGGTAGGGCAAGTATTTTTGTATAAATAGATAAATGTTGTTGGTTGTGTACTATAAATAAGAAGGAAATACATCAGAATTAGTGATTTGTTTAATTAGACAGTGCAGCTTGTGTGTTTGCTTTTCTAGTTTCTTATACTAAACTATTTTTGATTTTCTAAGAAGTGAACCTAAAATCTATAACATGCGAACACTTCTAAAGACAGGGAAAATCTGAAAGCTGTGATGAGACTGGAGGACTGTGATTAAAAAGAGAAAGAGGAAATAGAAAAATTATACTTGCTGTAATTTATGGGATTGCTAAGGCATCAAAAATATTGTATGTGATTCAAGAATTGCTTGTACAAATAGCAATTCATTCACATAACCCCAGGATACATAAACAGGAGTAGAATGGTGGGAGAGTTCCCCTTTTATGTGATATGTATAGTTGTTCCAATGCTTTTTACAGAACTGCTTCTAATTTGGGATTCCATAATTTAAAGTGAATGTGATGGATATACAGGGAACAACAAAAATGATCAAAAGATTGGAAAATGAATGGTCTGAGAATAGAGGATTTCAACACAGAATTTTTTAAACCTGAAACAAAACCACAGTTTTTAACCTGAAAAAGGGATGAATGACAGCTTACCAGGATTGGAAATGACAAATGAGAGTGGGGCAATGAGTATAATACATGAGTAAAGACATTATCATTTGATAATCTCAGTTGAATCTCTGTGTGAGAATCCATCAGAGTACTTTCAGCCTTGTGTCATTTTAATTCATATTATTTGTTTGATATTTTTGGAGAAAGAGGGATATAGATCTCCTCTGACTGCATGTCCATAATACCATGTACATCTACCTAAAAGGGTGCTAAGCCCTCTGTGTTATGATTATTAATTTATGGGTGGGCCTTGCCAGCTTTTTAAGGATAGGAACTCATGTCTTATTTTTCTGTATCATCCCAGAACCTGGCAATACCCTTGACATACAGTAGTAGGCGCTTAATAAATATGTGGTGCCTGAATGCAGGAATAAACATAGGACAGTTTAATTTCATGACCGTTGGAGCCATTATCAAACAGTTCCTTAATAGCCCTTGATTTTGAGACTGAGGATGAGGTGGAATGAAAGTGCATAACTATAAGAGTTTTAGAATCAAACAATTCTATTTCTTGCATGGGCAAATTGTGCAGCCTTTCCGGGGCTCATCTTCTTATCTGTAAACTGGGTAGTGTGATATCTAAACTACAGAGTGATTGTAAACTTTTAATTTAAATGCAGTGATATACAAAAAGTAGTTAAGTGTCTATCACAATGTAAGCACCACATTTATTCATTCTTTCAACAGGTATTTATTACAACACAACAGGCACTGTTCTAAGTGTTAAGAATGTAACAGAGAATGAGGTCCTTATCATAATTGTAACATAAAGAGTCTTCAGATAAAACTACCTGCCCTTATTCTTCTGTCTCCAATTACCAGGAGGCCAATTTCTGGGGCTGCTGTTAGGGACCAGTAAACACCTATCTAATGTAAAGTGTCGGGACTGCAGGTGACTCTGTCCATTTATCTGAAATCTGAGGGATTAATGAAAACAGTGTGGTCTTGAGCCTGACTTGAGAATGTGAGTTCATGCTTTAGAAGTCTCCCTGTGAACCCTGAGCTTCCACTGTTGAAAAGCCTTCCTGATTCCAAAAAGCTTCTACACTATTCTACCAGAAATTCCTAGCTTTGGTTTCAGCAAGGAAATTCTTATAAAAATTTAACTTTGCCATTTCTACAATCTGCCATTTTTCTTAGAATTTAGATTTATTAAAGGAAGCTAAATATTTATTTGCTAAATGAAAACAGACTTCTTGACTGTGGTATATGTATCAGTGGTTTTGCTTTCACAACCCTTAGTTCCTTTGTAAATTCTGGGTCTGTTACCAGAATGGACCTTAATTTCTTTTTAATTTTTTTTTCAACTGTGATCCCAGCAGGGACAAGGAAGCAAACTGAAACACATGATAACCTTCATCACTCAATCTGGAAAATTCAATAAGCCCAAGTTAAAAAGCTAAGAACCTAAAAAAACCCAACAAGTCCTCTAAACTAACATGTTAGAAAAAGTAGCAGGCCTAAAGGCAAGATGGTCCTATTCTTTATTTCTTTTCATATCTTTCCTGGATTTCTTATTCATATGAGTCTATCTGGAGGGCTATCTCTGAATATTTTCTTCTTGCAGAGATTTTTCTTTCTCAATTTCAAGGAAAGAAGAGCTGTAAGAAGAAATGGTCACAGGCAGAAAAGAGAGAGGTTGCATTAAAAAATGTGATCAAAGGCAGATTCTGATTTTCTAGCTCAATTAGAAAGTTTAAGTTTGGTAACTTTGAAAGACTAATGAAGTCTAAGTTGAATAGCAGAAATAATATTATTTGCTAGGGAGCTTTGTGTCTCTATGGATTAATGATTTCATTCGATGTGTAATACAGGATTCGAGATTGCCAGAGGTTGAACATCAACAAAAGGGATTTTTTCCCCTTTCCTCCTGGGGATTCTCTTCTGTTCTGTTCTCTTCCTTTCTCTCTTTCTTTCTTTTATGAGATTCAGCTCTAGGGTGAGAGATATCCTGAGTCTTGACTGTTCTTTGATTGAAAGGAACCTGAAGAAGCTTCTTTCTTTCCTCCCTCCCTTCCTCCTTTCTTTCCTCTTTTCTTTCCTCCTTCCTTTCCTCCTTCCCTCCCTCCCTCCCTTCCTTCCTTCCTTCCTTCCTTCCTTCCTTCCTTCCTTCCTTCCTTCTTTTTTTCTTGAGGAAGTTTCGCTGTTGTTACCCAGGCTCAAGTGCAGTAGTGTGATCTTGGCTCACTGCAACCTCCACCTCCCGGGTTCAAGCAATTCTCCTGCCTCAGCCTCCCAAGTTGCTGGGATTACAGCTGCCCACCACCATGCCTAGTTAATTTTTGTATTTTTACTAGAGACAGGGTTTCACCTTGTTGGCCAGGCTGGTCTCGAACTCCTGACCTCAGGTGATCCGCTCACCTCGTCCTCCCAAAGTGCTGGGATTACAGGTGTGAGCCACTGCCCCCAGCCGGAATTTCTTTCTTATTCAAGAAAATCTGGTTGATTGTAAGACCAGTTGGATATCTGAATCCGCCCCCCAAGTTAGGCCTAATAAATGCTAGTGCAATTGGAATGCTAGACCATGCATAGAAAATCATCGGAATTATTAGGCAGTGAGTACATATTTCTCTCTAAACAATTTGAGAGACAGGTTTGTTCATTTGAACTTAGGCTGCAGATGTGCTAATATTATGGCTGACATCTGACAGATGAAAAGATAGTCACTCCCAAATGGAAGGCACAGAGGGAAAGAAGTAAATGACCACGTGTCACTGCCAGTCACTGTTCTGGGAACTATGTGCTCACTGTTTCCTTAGCACTTCAAAACAACTGTATTAGGCGATTATAATTCCATTTTTTTGGTTAAAGAATTAACATTCAAATAAGTTAGGTAATTTTCTGAAGGTCATACAGCCTTTTAAAAAGTGACACTGAAGGAATTTGATTGCAGGTCTGTCTGACCCAGAGTTAGGTTCATTCCTTTCCCTGCTAACACCTTCTCAGCATATATATATATATATATATATACACACACACATATATTCCAAGATATATATATATTCCAAGATATATATATATATGCCAAGATATATATATATATTCCAATATATATATATTCCAAGATATAGATATTCCAAGATATAGATATATATATTCCAAGCATATATATGATGTTTTATATATAATGTATAAATAACACATGTTTTATATATACAATGTGTGTATACATATATAATATATGTTATATATTATATATGTATACATGTTATATATGTATATACTATATATATAAAATAGATATATATATCTCCCTGTATACACTATCTTAGTTTCCTTCAAGATCATGAGTATGTTTTGTATGTGGACTACATTTTACAGATTAAATGATGCAGGGAACCACAGAATTGAAGCTAAATGATTTAGGAAAGCAAATTCAAAGTTAAGTCAGAGAACCTTGAGTACCAAATCTAGGGAAACTCATCCAATTGAAGCTAAAATGAAACTGAAATTGGAGATCTGCAGCTTAAACAAAACAAATTTGCCTTTCCAAGGACCAACATAACTAAAGAAAAAATCTTTGTCTTTGGATGAGGCAGGATAAACCATCCAAAATGGAGTAAGACTCAAAGAGCTAGGATTAGTAGAAGGAAAAAAACGATTTAAAAAATAGTTCATAAAAAGATTGAGCAATCTATACACTGGTTGTACCTGTTCCTGAATTTAAATTAGATGTTTTAAAATTAGCCAATCTCATGTGCTGTGCTGTGGTGGACAAGGAACTGGAATTGTAGATAGCAGAAATTGCTAGAGGAGTATAAGCAAAAATGCCTGTGGATTCAAGACAATGGTCTTTGGGAGAGAACCCCAATAGCTTGGATAGTGGCATTGGTAAATTACTCAGAGAAACATTACTAAAATTTGGTTAGGGGATCATCAGTTGTCCCTTTGTCAAATCACACCCCCAGAGCTGGATGGAAAATAAACTTATGTTTATTAATGTGTTTTATTGGAAGTGAAGATGGGATGGGAAGATGGAGGCAGGAGAGGGAAACTGGAATTATTCAAGAGGAACTTTTTCTGGCTTAAATTGGCCTTCCCAATACATTTACCTGTTCCAAAGCCGACCATGTGAAAACAAAGGGCACAGTCAAAACTGTCCAGAGTCATGCAGAAATGTTCAGAGATGCAAGGGGTGTGGTTGCCTATGTTAATGGTATTTAGGGCTTCCTGTCAGCTTAAGAAAAAGGAAGTGCAGAAGTGAGAATGTGTGTGTGCTAGTGTGTGAGTTTCTCACTGTATGTGTGAGTTTTGTTGTGTGTTTCCGGGAGAGGGAAGGGAGGCTGGGGGGAGGGTGCAGACATGAAGGAAGTGCAGTAGATGTGGCAGTTTGGTCTATCTTGGAATCAGTTTGTGATGCTTCCGTGGTGCTGAATATCGCTCTCCATTTCTTCAGGTCTGGGAATGATTGTCTTTAATTACCTGTTTGGTTTTACTCTCGTATTTCTGGGATACCACATCTGTTTTTAATTTTCTCTCAATTACAAAAGCAATATATATTGAATGAAGAAAATTTGGAAAATATAGAAGACAGGGAAAATAAAATAAAACTGGCTCATAATTCTGTCATCCTGCAATAACGACTATTAACATTTTGTTGTGTATCCTTCCAAGTATTACTGAGATTTACAAAACTGGGCTATTACTCCACCTATTGCTTTATATCGTGTTCTTTTCCCTGGACTTTTATCTCTGTTTTCTTTCTGTGCCAAACCCTCAAATATTCTTTGTACTTTAGTGTCTCACTCGGGCAATTCTCCACCTTCATGTTACTCCCTGTCCATTGCCTTCAACCCATGTTCTGTCCCAGTGACTTCCTCCATGTCTTTCTTTAGAGTCCATGATTCTTCCATAAAAATCCCTTCTTTGCTTTATACATTCAAAGCCCTTTTTGTAATCACCCTGATAAACCTCAACCTTCATAAAATCTAACTACCTTTCTTTTCCATGTTAACCACATTGCTGGAGAAAACCATGCAACTGTGCTGACTCCTCAAAATGCTATTCCTCAAACATAATGTCCCCATAAGAAATGAAGTGTGCTTCTACCTCCAGGCCTCTTAGTGTTCCCTCTGCCCAGACTTCTCTTTCTTGAGCTGTCTTCTGAGGCTTATTCCTCTACATTCAGGTTTTTCCTCAAATGTTATCACTCAACTCAGCACAAACACCTATCAGTGGCCTCAGTGCACTCTATTGAAGTGATCGAATCACTGCAGTCTCCTTTATTTCAGCACGTAGACTCCTTGAAGAGAAGAGTCATACTTAGTGAAGTCTTGTCACAGAGTCAGTGCTCAATAAATGTCTGCTAAATAAAATAATAAATGGAAAAAATCCACTTTTTTCTTCTTCTTCAGGTGGCAAAGGAATTTCAGCCACATTATCATATTTGATTCTTTCAAAAAACCCGCGATATTGATTTGATGACAGTATTTTGGATATTATATATGTGTGTGTATATATATATGTGTGTATATATATGTGTATATATGTGTGTATATATATGTGTGTATATATTTGTGTATATGTGTGTATATATAAGTGTGTATATATATGTGCATATATATGTGTATATATGTGCATATATATGTGTGTATATATGCGTGTATATATATGTGTGTGTATATATATATACACACACACATTTTTAACAGGACTTCAAGTTCACAACACTAGCAAGGGGGAAAGATCAAGCTTGGTGTTACTTTCACTCTACCACACGTCTCATACTTCTGTATCAAAGTAGTCCTAAAAACAGAAAAAACTGTCTAGCCTGGATGCTATGTATTGCTGTAGCTGAATACATTCTGCTGAAGCATGACATTTATATTAAGTGTCCAAAATTCATTTATCTCACTATTATCTTTAACTTGGTACAAATTAGTGTACTATTATCCTGTTACATGTTTGCTGCAATATTATCTGTTTTATAACTTACAAATTAAATTAAATTTTTTGACTCTTTTCCTCCTTCAAGAAAAGATGCCACTCCAAAGGATGCCTCCTATTCATCCCATGACTTCCCAGAACTTCTTGCATACGTTAAATGTCTCCAGACATCTGTATAAACCCAATCTGGGAAATAACATGCTTTACCACACAGTCTTTCCCCATTGTGGATTAAAGGCAGGACTTGATAATGTTGCTATTTGTATGTCAGTGAGTATAATGAGAAACACCAACTCAGTTAAATGGCATATACTTCCAATGCAAAATTGTTGATCAATATCCTGGCTCAAAGGGTTATCAGAGATGTATGATATCTGGACATGTTTTTGAGACATTTTACAACATAGATGTAAAGAAACTCTTCTTGACTCTCCTAGATATATAGCCAGACTTCACTCTTCCCTCATCTGAACAACTAATGAACCTCATGTGGATAACTATAAAATTTATTGCAAATATTTGGAAGATATAATGTCCCCAAGAGAGAAAAAAATTAATAAAAGCTTATATATCTGGAATGAAAAAAACATAACTAGGGAAGACAAAGTTTCATGTTACTTGATTCCTAGATACACCTGCTCAACCTTACAGAGTTCTGAGTCATAATAGAGGGATAAAAAATGCAATATGAGAAATACCAATGCATATTTTGATTGGACTACCAAGAGATTTTCATTTCACAAAGTAGAATGGAACAGAAAATCTTCAATGATTTATGACAGATTATTTATAGTGGATAGAATTCTCAAAAATCTGGCTTTCTGCTTTATAAAATTATCTCCAAATGCAATAAGTGCTCTACTTCCTATTGCTACTTATAATAGCCTTTTTGATTAATGCTTTCTTCTATCACCAAAATATATAAATAACCTATTTGGATTTATTTATAAAAAATTATAAAATAGCAAGAATACTGTATTCTTGTGAGGACATAAAATACATGAAGCAGGAAAGAAAGCTCTAAAGATACAATTCAGAAATGGAATATATAATTGAGTTCCTTGTAATAGTCATTTTAGCTTAACTATTTTTTGTTTTCTTGGATTTTGATATTTAAAACACGGATCTCTCTCTGCTGGTGACATTGCACACACTGCAAAATTGCCAAGGTGTAGAGAATTCCAAAATTATAGAATACAATAAAAATTTAAATCCATAAACCAAATGTTTGAAATCTAAGAAATCCCAATCTGGGACTCTACCTCTTTTTAGCTTGTGATACACACATAGGGAGATTCAGGAGTTCAAGCAAGGATTTTTAAATCAGAATTGTCCTCTAGAATAAAGCCATATTCTAAGCATTCTGACCTGAGGGGCTCTAAATTTATAGGTGTCTTTCAAAATACTGATTGTATAGCAAAATATACAAATACACAGACTCCAGAGAGGAAACAGCATTTACTCCCTTCCTCCAGTATCAGCTTCCTTACACCACCCTCCTACGATGGTGGCTGCAAGCCAATTCCTGTGGCAAGACATTTAAAAACAACTGTGTGGCTCCATATTGATTGGCAACACGCAATTTGGCTCCATAAAGTCTGCAAAATGAATCATGATCCAATGCTGTTACCTGCTTGACTTCAATGTATCTTCTCTTACCACAGGAAAAGCAATTTAATAACAGGCAATTTACAGTCCTGATTATAATGGGCCAGTGAGGTTCAGTTCTAGATGCACTGGCAAAACTCAGCCAACAGATTTGGTGGTCTTATTTATTTATTTAATTATTTATTTTATAAAGTTAGCTTTTAATGGCCCATTTGTGATTGAATCCAGAATTACATAGTCTATATAATACTGACCTATGGTATACCTAGGAGCCCTGAATTTTTGCCAAGAATTCCTGGCTGTGTCTATAAGACAACAACATGTCCAGATGAAAAATGTAACATGCTAGCTATTTTGTCTGTATAAGAATTATAGTGTTAATTGTTTTTAAGTGAACCTGTCAATTTAACACAAACAGGGAGTGAACATAGATACAAGCTCCAAGTGTGTGGTGTGCCTTTTTATACAAGTTCTTTTGGAAAAAAATTACTTGTTTGTGTTAACTTGCAAGAATTACATTAGAGAATAATATCCATCTCACTTGAAATTAAATTATTGAATTTGTTGGAATAAGTAGACTTACTAATGATTATTGTAGTATGGCTCATGATAATTGAAAATATCAATTTATAAATTGTCATTTAACATTAGGCTTTTACTACTATTTTAGCTTATTATGTTCATATATTTCTATTGAATTCAGACTGTGACTGACTTTCTTGTTGTTGGAAGATATTGGAGGGAAGAGATTACCTTTTTATTCTGTGTGTTGGGGGGCTTTGAAAGAAATTAGAATCATTTAAAGCAATTTTGTTTCTTTATTTTGATAATGTTTTTATCCTAGTCAAAGGCACAATGACTATTTCTGAATCAGTAGAAAGCAAATAATCTAATTTGTACCAGGATTTGGGAGCATTTATTACACCATAATAAAAAATGAAATAGAAGTAAGACATAAAACATAGGGACATTCAGAAACCTACTCCTTCAGTTTCCAAGTGTTTCATTTCCCAGGCTCTGGTCTGCCTTTCTTCCTGTGACTCTTTAAATCACCTCAAGTTCCTTGGCTTTCTGCCATGTTTTCTTTCTTTCACACCAAAAGCATCTATATTTTAACACCAGCCTCTGGTTCTACTTGCATTTTTCTGTCTTTTAAATATCTTTTTGCATTAAAAAAAAGAACAAAAGTTCAGTGATATGTAATTATCATCTGCCTTTTTCTTTCTTTTTCCTTGCCTTGCCTCCTCCACTCCCTAGAGAAAAGAAGTTCAGATGGTTAAGATCAACATGCATTTTTAACCCAGATATGATTCTGAGTTTTCTACTCTGATTTGGAAGAATGATATCAGATATTCTTGTCTCATTTGGGAGCCAAGAAGGAAAGCTTTTAATATCTAACCATAAAATATAATGCTCGCTGTCATTTAAAAGAATCCAATTAATGAAATTCCCTTTTAGCCCTACTTTAGAAAGAGAAGGCCGGGCACAGTGACTCACGGCTGTAATCCCAGCACTTGGGGAAACCGAGGTGGGCGGATGACCTGAGATCAGGAGTTCAAGACCAGCCTGACCAACATGGTGAAACCCCATCTCTACTAAAAATACAAAACTTAGCCAAGTGTGATGGTGCATGCCTGCTGTCCCAGCTACTTGAGAGGCTGAGGCATGGGAATCGCTTGAACCTGGGAGGCAGAGGTTGCAGTGAGCTGAGATTACACCACTGTACTCCAGCCTGGACGACAGAGTGAGACTCTGCAACCCCATCCCCCAAAAAAAGCAATAGTACTGCACAGATGTTGAATTTTATCAAATGCTTTTTCTGTATCTATTGAAATGATCACATAACCATTTTTTCCTTTATTATGTCAGTAAGGTGAATTACTCTAATTGACCTTTGAGTATAAATTCCTTTCTGGAATAAACATCTATAGTGATAAGCTCTTTCGTTCCTGATCTAAGTTATTTTTGCCACTTAAAAATATATATTAATATAGTTTTATCCCTTTTTATATGTCTTTTAAAAAATAACATTTGGATTTATTTGTTCTACAGTACATTTGCTTCCTTTCATTTCTTCACACTTTTATATTTATTTCCTTTTTTCTACTTTCTTTAAATTTAATTTGCTGTTATTTTTAAATTTCTTAAAATGGATTCTTAGATCAATAAAAATCATTCATTAATTATTTACTCTTTCTGCTTTTGTGACATATGCCTTCCTGCTATACATCTTCCTCTAAGCATGGCTTTAGCTACTTCCCAAAGTTTTGATATGCCATACTGTGATTCTCATTGACAACATTATTATTTTTTTCTCTTTTTGAGAGAAGGTCTCACTGTGTAGCCCAGGCTGTAGTGCAGTGGCACAATCATGGCTCACTGCAGCCTGGATCTCCCAGGCTCAAGCCATTCTCCTACCTCAGTCTTCTGAGTAGCTGAGAATACAGGCATGCATCATCACACATGGCTAATTTTTTTTTTTTTTTTTTTTTTTTTTTTTTTTTTTGAGATAGGGTCTTGCTATGTTGCTCAGGCTGGTCTCAAACTGCTGATCTCAAGAGATCTTCCCACCTCAGCCTCCCAAAGTGCTGCGATTATGGGCCTGAGCCACTGCACTTGCCAACATTGCCATTTTGATTACTTATTTACCTTATGGATTATTTAAAAATATATTGTCTAACTCTTGAATATTTAGGTATTTTCTAGTTCTCTTTTGATTATTGACTTTTAGTTTTGCACTGTAATTGAAGGACATACTCCACCTGCTTTATAAATTTTGCAATTTGTCCAGTTTCTCTACTTGGTCCCTTGTGAAGTTTGCTCTGTAACCACCTATCTGCTATTATAGAAGCAAATTATCACTGTGCTTTTATGTGAATTTTCTTGATTACTGAAGCAATTGGTCATCTTTTGGGGTGTTTATCTTTTGTTCAGAAATTTTAAATTTTGACAAAGTGTAATTTAGTACTTTTTCTTTAAAATTTGTGTATTTTATTTCATGTTTCAAAATACTATTTCATAACTTGACATCCAACAGAATTCTTAGGCATTTTATTTTTAGTTTTTATAATAACAAAACAGCATATTACACCAAGGTACCAGGATAAAATATAAATCATGACTGGTCTAAGTAAACTGATATATACTATACCCTATCAATAAGTCATTTTTTTAACTTCTCATTTTACTTCGTTTGTTCAGATTGATTGAGGACCTCCTAACAACAATAGCCACATTTTATTTAATTCTCACAATAACCCTATGAGGTAGGTATTATCATCCTTGGTTTAAATGAGGAAAGTGTCATGTAAAGGTAAGGAATCTGTAAGCAATAGAACCAGTATTAGAATTCAGGCAACCTTGTTCCAGGATGTAAGTCTTAGTCACTATGGAATGCTAAGGTCATTAGCAGCACACGAATAACTGTAGTAATTACTCCCTTTGCCTTAGGGATTTCTCTTGGTTCTGCTCCTCTTCCTTTTCTTTCATCTAGTTTTTCTTGTTTCCATTTCTCTGTTTTTTACTTAGATTCTGACTTTTTGCTTAGGTCCTCTGGATTGACAGTTCTATTTTAATGATCTGCTTAGCTTTGATTTAGTACTAACTTTTTATTGCTGCCTACTAAATTCGGCTCCAATACATGGCCATTCCTTGAGCTTTCACTCCATACAAGGCTAAGGCTGAGTCTACTGCTTGCTTAACGTGGATTACTAAATGAGAACTATGCTATACTCTTCTCAGAACTTTAATAACAACTAGCAACACATCCAGTGCCTTCTCTAAACATAACTTGTTCATTCATTTATCCATTCATTTAATCTTTCCCTCTTTCCTTCTTCTTTCTTTCCCTTTTTTCCTTTCTTTCTCCTCCTTCCTTCTTTCTTTTCCTTCTTTCCCACTTCCATTCCTTTCCCTTCCCTTCCCTTCCTTTTCCCTTCCCTCCCCTCCCCTCTCCTCCCTTCCCTTCCCCTCCCCTTCCTTTTTCTATTTGTCAGGCATTTATCAATGTTGAACTGATCTGTTATAAGCATTGGACATATGGAGAGGAATAAAGTATGTGCCTTGCCTTGTAGGCCTCATACTCCAACTGAGAAGATAGGTTTTAAACATAAGATAATCAGTGTGCTAACATTACATAAAGTATTCTATATTCCTTATGGATGTTGTCACAGAAGAGGTAAGATATGAGCTGGATCTTCAAGGATAAGTTTTTCAGATAGATAGGAATGAAGTGCTAGGAGCTAAGACTTAATTTAGAATGCAAGATCTCCATATATTCCTTTAAATAGAATAAAATTAGCTTGAGGAAAAGTGCTTTGATGATGCTGGAAGAGGTGCTTATGGTCCCCAAAAAAGGACAGAAAACAGTAAATTTATGACATTAAAATACTTCATTTGGGCCTCTACTTTTGTGCTCTCTCCCTCCTTTACTTCTTCATATTTCTCAAGGTGGTTTAGGTAACCACAATACTTGCGACAATTTATCAGTACCTCATATAGCAAGTGCAAAATACAATAGAGGTCCATATTCAAGTCTGAAACCCTAAGAAGCCACAACATCCCCTGCAAGATCTGAGAGCATTCAGGCCCAGGGCTCATTTATCCTGCACAATCTGCTGTCACTGTAGAGTAATTCAGTGAGCCATTTGAAAGCTTTTCCCTTTCTTCACTTTATAGAGAGTTTTCTTGATAAGCATTAATAAAGGTAGTTATTTTAGAAAGTGCAATTACTTTAGGCAGGTTAAAAACAGCCCAATATATATGTTGTTTTTCTGTCTATACATCATTTATATTGTGTCTCTCTTTCTTAGAAAAATGACGTCCAACAATTTCGATTCCTAAAACATTTTTGTTTATTATAATTTGCCTATAAAATATGGCCTAGTCATGATATTGAGAATCATTTTCATTTGTTACAAAGTTATAACAAATAATAATCTATGTCTTTCCTAAGTTAAAGAAGACTTTTATCTTTTTATTATTGGGATGGATTGCTACTGCTCAAATGATCACATTTATGCATATTACTAACCTCTAAATTCATGTGATTTCTAGTCCAATTTATTTCTTTTCAGGTCTTCAAGAATTCACAGCACTTTTTTTAAATTTTAGTTTACGTTCAGGGATACACATACAGATTACTTCATCACCCAAGTATTAAGCCTAGTGCCCATTAGTTATTTTTCCCGATCCTCTCCCTCCTCCCACCCTCTATGGTCTAGTAGGCCTCAGTGTCTGTTGTTTCCCTCTGTGTCCACATGTTTTCATCATTTAGCTCACTTATAAGTGAGAACATACAGTATTTGGTTTTCTGTTACTGCATTAGTTTGCTAAGGATAATGAACTCCATCTCCATCCATGTTCCTGCGTAGGACATGATTTCATTCTTTTTTTATGGTTGCATAGTATTCCATGGTGTATATGTACCACATTTTCTTTATCAAATCTACCACTGATAGACATTTAGGTTGATTCCATGTCTTTGCTATTGTGAATAGTGCTGCAATGAACATACACATACATGTGTCTTTATAATAGAATGATTTATATTTTTAGGTATATACCCAGTAATGGCATTGCTAGATCAAATGGTAGTTCTGTTTTTAGATCTTTGATAAATCGCCACACTGCTTTTCACAGTGGGTGAACTAATTTACACTGCCACCAAAAGTGTATAAGCATTCCTTTTTCTCTTTTATTTTTTGACTTTTTAATAATAGTCATTCTGACTGGTATGAGATGGTATCTCATTGTGGCTTTGATTTACATTTCTCTAATGATTGATGATGTTGAGCTTTTTTTCTTACACTTTTTGGCTGCATGTATGTCTTTTTCGTTTTGAAACGGAGTTTCGCTGTTGTTTCCCAGGCTAGAGTGCAATGGCGTGATGTCAGCCCACCACAACCTCTGCCTCCTGGATTCAAGCGATTCTCCTGCCTCAGCCTCCCGAGTAGCTGGAATTACAGGTGTCCACCACCACAACTGGCTAATTTTTTGTTTAGTAGAGACAGGGTTTCACCAGGTTGGCTAGGCTCGTCTCGAACTCCTGACCTCAGGTGATCCACCTGCCTCGGCCTCCCAAAGTGCTGGGATTACAGGCATGAGCCACTGCGCCCAGCTGTATGTTTTCTTTTGAAAAGTGTCAGTTCATGTCCTTTGCCCACTTTTTAATGGTATTTGGATTTTTTTTTTTCTCGTAAATTGTTTAAGTTCATTATAGATGCTGGATATTAGGCTTTTGTTGGTTGCATAGTTTGCAAAATTTTTCTCCCATTCTGTAGGTTATTTATTTACTCTCTTGATAATTTCTTTTGCTGTGCAAAAGCTCTTTAGTTTAATTAGATCCCATTTGTCAAGTTTTGCTTTTGTTGCAATGCTTTTGCCATCTTTATCATGAAATCTTTGCCCATTCCTATGTCCAGAATGGTATTGCTTAGTTTTCTTCCGGCCTTTTTATAGTTTACATTTTTACATTTAAGTATTTAATCCATCTTGAGTTGATTTTTGTATATGGTGTAAGGAAGGGGTCCAATTTCAATCGTCTGCATATGGCTGTCTAGTTATCCCAGCACCATTTATTGGATAGGGAGCCTTTTCCTCTTTGTTTGTTTTTGTCTGCTTTGTTAAAGATCAGATGATTGTAGGTGTATGGCCTTATTTCTGGGCTATCTATTCTGTTCCATTGGCCAATGTGTCTATTTTGGTACTCGTGCCATGCTGTTTTGGTTACTGTAGGCCTGTAGTACAGATTGAAGTTGGATAGTGTGATGCCTCCAGCTTTGTTCTTTTTGCTTAGGATTGCCTTGGCTATTCAGGCTCTTTTTTGATTCCGTATGAATTTTAAAGTAGATTTTTCTAGTTCTGTGAAGAATGTCATTGGTAGTTTGACAGAAATAGTATTGAATCTATAAATTGCTTTGGTCAGTATGGCCATTTTAATGATTTTTTTCTTCCTATTTATGAGCATGGATTATTTTTCCATTTGTTTGTGTCATCCGTGATTTTCTTGAGCAGTATTTTGTATTTTTCATTGCAGAGATCTTTTACCTTCCTAGTTAGCTGTATTCCTAGATATTGTATTTTGATTGTGGAAGTTGTGAATGGGATTGCCTTCTTGATTTGGCTCTCTACTTGTCTATTGTTGAGGTATAAGAATGCTAGTGATTTTTGAACATTGATTTTGTATCCTGAGACTTCACTGAAGTTGCAAATCAGCTGAAGGAGCTTTTGGACTGAGACTATGGGGTTTTCTAATATAGAATCATGTCATCTGCAAACAGAGAGAGTTTGAAGTCCTCTCTTCCTATTTGGATACTGTATAGTCCATTCTCACATAGCTATAAAGAACTACCTGAGACTGGATAATTTATGAAGAAAAGAAGTTTAATTGACTCATATTTCCGCAGGTTGTACAAGAAGCATGGCTGGGAGTCCTCAGGAAACTCACAACCATGATGGAAGGTGGAGGCAGGAAAGAGAGAGCAGAGCGGGGAAGTGCTACACACTTTCAAACAACCAAATTTCAGGAGAACTCACTTACCATCATGAGAAGAGCATGGGGGAAGCTGCCCCCATGATTCAGTCACCCCCTACCAGGCCCCTGCTCCAACATGTGGGGATTACAATTTGACATGAGATTTGGGTGGGGACACAGAGCCAAACCATATCAGGTGCCCTTTATTTCTTTCTGTTGCCTGATTTCTTTGGCCGGAACTTCCAGTGTTATGTTGAATAGGAGTGGTGAGAGAAGGCATCTTTGTCTTGTGCTGGTTTTCAAGGGAAATGCTTCCAGCTTTTGCCCATTCAGTATGACGTTAGCTGTGGGTTTGTCATAGATAGCTTGCATTATTTTGAGGTATGTTCCTTTGAAACCTAGTTTATTGAGAGTTTTGTTTTTTTTTTTAACATGAAGGGGGTGTTGAATTTTATCAAAAGCCTTTTTCTGCATCTATTGAGAGAGCCATGTGGCTATTGTCTTTAGTTCAAATAAAGCTTACTTGATCAGGCTGGGCACAGTGGCTCATGACTGTAATCCTAGCACTTTGGGAGGTCGAGGCGGGTGGATCACCTGAGGTTAGGAGTTCAAGACCAGCCTGGCCAACATGTTGAAACCCTGTCTCTACTAAAAAATACACACACACAAAAAAAATTAGCTGGGCATGGTGGCGAGCACCATAATCTCAGCTGCTCAGGAGGCTGAGACAGGAGAATCGCTTGAACCCAGCAGGTGGAGTTTGCAGTGAGCCAAGATCACAGCACTTCACTCCAGCCTGGGCGAAAGAGCAAAAGTCTGACTCAAAAAAAAAAAAAAAAAGTTACTTGGTCATGGTGGATAAGCTTTTTGATGGGATTCACAGCAATTTTAAGCAACTCTAAGTTATCCACTTTCTATTTTTTCCTACATCTAATATTTTCTAAATGTATTGGCTAACTCCTTTTTCCAAAGTACAAAATAAAATGATTATTTAAAAAACTGATTGCTCCACAAATGCACTAATACAAAAAGTAGACAAGTTAACAAAAAGGAGAGAAAGAATAGATAACATTTTTTAAAATCAAATTATAAATGACAAAATTATGTTTTACAGATAAGGATCTAGCAATCATATTCAAGTTCAGAGTCATATGTATTTTATCAATGTTTAATAAGAGGAAATAGGTTTAATCTATAGTAGAAGTTATTAAATTAGATATTAACAGTGGTGCTCATCTCCCACTAAATTTTGAAGCAAAAAAGCAATTTAAGAATAGTTCTGGCCTGGGTTTCCAAATTAAACTTTATTTACAAAAACAGGAGAGTTACGACTCCTCCAAAAGAAAGAGTAGTTTTACCTGGAATAATGTAGAATTGCTGCAAATAATAAACTTAGGATGGTAAAAAAAAAAAACAAACAAAAACACAATGACAAGTCATAGAGCTTATTTAGAATAAGTCTTCAACCGATTTAGGTATGTTCTCAGTGCCTCCAATAGATAGTTGTGCAGGCCACTGAATATGCATTTTAGTACACAACAATCAGTAGAAATTTTCATACCTTCACCTCTGATTTCTGAATGTTATTGGTTTATAAATTATATAAATTTTAAATGTAATCAAATATAAAATATTTACAAAATTGGAGATTAAAGGATAAGGCAAATATTAAACAAATATAATTTATAATATGTTTCATTTCATTTATGAATGATTCAAAACATTTCAATTTCCCTGAAATATTTTTATGTAAAGTAAAATATCAAAAATGTTTTTTTATTGATATGTAAGAATATTTTCTTATGAGAAAATTATTAAGAATATATTTCATTATTGTTAAAAATTTATATCATAAAACAATTCTGATACTTAGTTTTAATTATTGTCATAACTCAAACATGTAAGCTACATTAATATATATATATCCAAAAGAAGAAATATATTATTATCTGTGCTTATTAAATCATGGTATATTTTATCTACCAACTATGCAAAAGTTTTTGTTTAAATGTTTCCATTAAATTCCTGGCACTTCCGATGTCCATCGGGTATTGCTGCATAATAACTGGAAGATTTTACAGTTTTATATTTTTAAAAATTAGTTCACACCCTGCAGAAATTTCACGGTAAAATTTAAGTTTAGAAAATGATGCTTTAAAGTTTTTTAAAGGTACTGCATCCTATGTGGCAAAACAAAGCTCAGAAATGAAAAATATTTTTATTCATCTGTTTTAATAGTGCAGAAAATGAATATATGCATTTCTCTGTTGAACCCTTGTGTTGTGAAACTGTCACAGGTCCTTCCGAATATCTTTACCTCCTGACAGAGGACCAGGCTCAATTTCTCTATTAATTTATAGCAAAGTACTTCCTTCTTTTTAAAAAAAATTACATGTTCTCATTTTTGCTTCCTTCACTTCAATGGGTTGCCATGAGTATTTCCTGTGGGAAGGCATTCCGCACTTTGTAGACCATTGGTCTAGCCTCTATATTAGCGAATACTGTGGTCTGTGGATGGGGTTCTGATCAAATGGATTGTGCTTGGGTCCACAATTGATAGCTTTGCTTGATAAACAGATTTCTTCTATTGAGTCACTATCTTCCCTCCTTCAAATTCTACTGTTTGGTCTTAGTTTAGTTTACTGGAAATGGTAAAAATCATATCACAATTGAGTATTTCAGGGCTAGAGGGGACTTTAGAAGCCATATGGCTTGGTTTCCCACTCAGCATAGGTATAGGTTTCCTAGATTTAGCAAATAAAAATACAGGGCATACACTTCTTGAATCTCAAATAAACAACACATTTTAAAGTATACATATGTTGGAAATATTTGCAAATACTTAGCATTCTGTGTTTTTTATCCAGCAACTCTGTATATGTGGCCTCTCTATCAGATTTTTAGCATGTGGGTAGCTAGCCTCACCCTTCTCTGAATAGAAAATAATATATTTTGGTACAAAAGGAGGTAATTGATTATAAATGGAGTATATATGTATAAACACTGAAATTGGCTAGGGTGACAGTTTTATTTTCATTTGCTCTTTGTTTTGCGTATAAATTATCCAACATCTAGTCACGATAGATCCTTAGAAGCTTTATGTAATGGCAACAAACATAATACAAAAAGTGAACTTCAGATTTTTTTTTTCTTCCTGAGACAGTCTCTCTCTGTCACCCAAGTTGGAGTGTAGTGGCGCGATCTTGGCTCACTGCAACCTCTGCCTCCCAGGTTCAAGCGATTCTCATGCTTCAGCCTCCTGAGTAGCTGGGACTACAGGTGCATGTCACCATACCCGACTAATTTTTGTATTCTTTTTTTTTGTTTTAGTAGAGATGGGGTTTCACTATGTTGGCCAGGCTGGTCTCGAACTTCTGACCTCAAGTGATCCACCAGCCTCAGCCTCCCAAAGTGCTTGGATTACAGGCGTGAGCCACTGTGCCTGGCCTTAAATTTCAGATCTTGAAGATCCAGGTCTCATGTGTCATCAGTGAGGAAGATGTACTACAAAATGTTGAGTTGATTAAAGGCACAAAATAATGGTGGCTGAACTGCACAGACAGCATATGTTTCCGGACTTCTGGTCAGAGAAAGTCTTCTTCACTGACTGCAGGATATTCTCCAAGATTCCTGGTAGGTTTGATCTTCTAGGACATCCACAGATCTCTAAAGAAACACCAGCCTTGGAGCACAGTTTGCTGTCTGAAACTTCGGTGTTTGCATTCATTTTCAAAGAAACTCCCAAAATGCACTTGTCAAATGATGCAGAGAAAAACTCACCTCCAAAATTCATTCTCAGTCATGGACAATGCATATTGCCATTCTGCTATAATCTTAAATGTGAGTTAGGATAAGGAAAAAAAAGAAAACCTCCTTTAAGCTGAAATCACTACTGAAATACAGCTGTTGTGTCTATGTAGCAGATTTGGAGACTACAAAAAAATGGGCTGTGGAGGTAAATTAAGAAGTTTGGACTCTAAGAAAAAGGTTCCTTATTATAGACATACTAAAGCTAGTACATGAGCTGGAGATGGAGCAGGGTCAGATTCAGGGTCATGTGATTTGTGCAGTCACACAAGGTCCAGCACCTAGAAATGCCCTATGCTTGGTTTAATGCTTTACTTTCATTGTCTTGAAATTCTTAATCATTTTGAGCAACAGGGGGCGGGGGGGTCCTGCATGTTCATTTGGCAGTGGGTCCTGGAAATTATGTAGCTGCTCCTGGATGACCACTTTGGCCAAGGCTGTGGTTTGTGGCCAGAGAGCAGAGCTTTCTCATATACTATATTCTCTTCAGCGACAGCTCTGTGTCCACAAGGTTTGCCATTATTCATTGGGGTCTATCACATGTACACTGTCCATTCAAGTCATGTCCATGCTTTGGACTTCCATTATCATTTCCTTTTGTATTCAATTGGTCGTAAGATCTATGGTTTCTACCTCTTGTATATATTTAAATTCTATTCCCTTTTCTATCTCCTCTGCGAATGACTCCCTTCAATCCTCTTCATTTCTTACTTGGTCAATTACACTAACTATGTTATTGGAATATCTGACTCTAGCTTAGTCTTATCTTCTCCAGTTCATTCTCTATAGCAGGTTCAAATTCTGCTTATTACAACTGACAGCTTTTGTAAGTAAAGTTTTCTTAGAATACACTTATATCCCTTAATTCACATGCTATCTATGGCTGCTTTCGTGCTCGAGCTGCAGAGTTAACACAGACTGGTATGGCCTGCAAAAGCTCTAGTTCTAGCTGCAGTTGCAACACAGACTGGTATGCCCTGCAAAAGCTAAAATACTACTTGGCCATTTACAGAAAGTTTGCTAACCCTTACTTTATAATTATGACAGAATCATCTTCTAACATGCACATTTATTATTATTATTATTTTACATTCTGGCTTAATTATTCTATTGTTTCAACTTAAACTCTAAGCTATTCAGCTTGGCATATTGATTTCTAAAGCAGTCTTCTGCCTACTTTAGCCTCTATACTAACGCACCTCAATATCAAGCGATGCCTTGACCATTGGTCCCTACGGGGTGGAGAGGAGTAGGTGGGTGGGAGGGAGGTGGAGGAAAAGTTTAGGGCAAGGTTGATCAGATTAACTTTAGAAGATTTTTCAAATGTCCCCTATTAAATGGCTGTCTTAGTCTTCTTGGGCTGCTATAACAAAATACCATATAATGGGTGGCTTAAACAACAGACACTTACTTCTCACAGTTCTAGAGGCTGGGAAGTCTAAGATCAAGTTGCTGGCAGATTCAATGTCTGGTGAAGGCTTTCTTTCTGGCTGGCGGACAGCCACGTTCTTATTATGTTCTCACATGGCAGAGTAAGAGAGCGAGCTCAGGCCTTACTTCCTCTTACTAATCCCATCATGGGGACCCCACTCTCATGACCTGATGCAAACCAAAGGCCCCAAATACAAATGCCACCACACTGAGGGTTAGGGGTTCAGCATATGAAGTTCAGAGAGACACAAACCTTCATTTCATTACAATGGCCCTTTGTGGGACCATATAAAAATGGGAAAACGGGGAGGACACATGTAGTTTGAAAAAAAAAAAAAAGAAACTCATGATCTCTTTTTGCTTCTCCTAATTCCTCCCCCCTTGAGAACCAATTATCTAGACATACCAAACCACTTTTGCTTCTCTCACCTCTGTGATTTTGCACATGCTGCTCCTCTCTCTGGAACACTCTCCCCCACCATGCGTCTCAGGCTAACTCCTAACAGCCTTTCAGGACCCTGTTTCAACCCTGTTGACATGACCTCAGATTCTCAGACTGAGCTAGATATCTCTTCTCTGTGTTCCCTTAGAATCAGTTTGTACTAGTTTTAGTATTTATTAACAGCATTTTAGTTGTGGCTCTCTTTCTAGTTGTTAGCCATTATATAATGATATATGTTTATATCATTAATTCTGGAAAAATGATTAGCACACAGTAGACATTCAATAAATGCTTGTTGAACTGATTGATGGAAGTTTTTGTCACTTGGCCAATAAATGGGAATGCATATATGTAAACCGTATTCAAGATACTGACATGTTTTTGTTCAGTTTTTAAAAATCAGTTAGGATTTTGATTTTATCATGAAGATTTTTTCTTCAGAATCTAAAATTGACTAATAAAGTTAAGTTTCTCTTTAAAAATAACCTTTCTCATCAATTTTATAAACAAAGATGAATATATATCCTCTAACCCTCTTCCTTTTTGTGATTATTTCTTATTTAAACATTCAAGTGATAGAAGAGCCCTAATCTACTCTCCAGAATTTGGTGGTGAGTTGTTGTTGTTATTGTTGCTGTGAACAATAAATTATTATAGCAAAATGCCACACAGGCTGGGCTGCCTGCTACAGATCATTAGTTACTTCTTTGCCTTCTAGAGCCTCATGGATTTAAAAAGACAAGACCAGGAAAAATATAGAGGATTTCCTTCTGCCCCTTGTTTGGAAAGCATGGCTTTTTCAAGGAGATTAAAACTAATTTTTATTCAGGCTGTAAATATAATATATAATTATCCAAACAGAAGAGATCTTCACTGATAAAAAAATACCCCAAATTCAGCATATTTCTATAAAGATTAACATTCACTGCTTACTATGTGTCAGATGTTATCATAAGCATATTCTATGCATATGCACACTAAAATTTTAACAGTGCTATATTACTGATGAGAAAAGGAGGCTTAGAGGGATTATGCTGTACTTAGTAGGCAGTGAGGTCAGAATTAAAACTCAGGTGTTCTGATTCCAGAAACTTCATACTTATCTGCTATATTCTAGTCCTTCTGAAACAAAGCACCCCTTTTCCTTGATGTGCAGTCAGGCTCCCTGGAATATATCGTGTAGTTACATAGCATGAAATTTTATTTCTAAAATAAAACTCTGCATAGTGTTTAGAGTGACCTACATAATATCAGAGGGGCAGTGGCTGCCTCTGTGACAGAGGAGGCATAAGAAGTCAGTCAAATGACTTTGTCAGCTTCATATGCTGGAAATTAAGAGTGACTGCAGGACTCTACTAGTTTGAGCTCCCAAGGTATAGAGGATTGGCCGTTGACTTTGAGCTTTCTCAATCATTTATTCTCATCTACTGATGGGAATAGCATATTTTGTCTTGGATTAAAAGAAAAACAACTTTGCAAGCCTCATTAAGCCAAGGATAATATCATCTCTAGAGATAAAATAACATGCCAGTCATTCAATCTACAAGCAAATAAAGTACATTTATAAGTATATTTGATTTTTACCATGTTAGACCTCAATGGACCTGTACGATGAATGCTGGGGCTTAGTGAGGCAAAGCATCAAATCCGAGGCCATGTGACAGAATTGGAACTAGAACCAAGAGGTATTATCTTTTTACCAATGTATCTAATGGTCACATTCCTTATTTCATGGTTGTGCATTTGGTCATTGATTGCTTGTAGCTCTTGGCATTAGGATAATTATTTATTATAAATGAAATAAATTTGAGTCAGTGATAATATGTTGTCAGGTATGTGAGGTTGCAATATACTTTATATCTTTAAATTCTTCAACCAACATACATATAGCACGTCACTTATGTGATAATATCTAACTCTTGATAATTCAAATTGGTTCTCATTCTTCTGATGTCATCAGTGCCAGTCTAGTTCTCTTTCTGATTATGACTATGGTGCTTACTTTAGTGTAGTTGCAGCCATAGGATACCAGGATTCTCAACTTTCCTTCTCTTGTCCTCCCTCTTCCTTTTCTTGTTTTTTATATTTTTCATTCCAGCTTTCTTAAAACATAAGGTCTTTGGTATTTTCTAAGACTTCCATCTGTGTTTTATTTCCTATCCTCTTTTATTTCTTTCAAAACTTGGCTTTGAAAGAGTTCACTTAGTCTTTTTTAAGTTTTTCTGTCCCCTCACCTAGGCCTGAAAACATGCTCAGGTACTCCCTAACACTGGAAATACCCTCTTAGCCCTGCCTGGAGCTAATAATCTTATTGTTCTTCTTCTATGCATCTCTAAGTTTCTTGAAAAGTGGTGTGCGTTAATTGCTACACTGCCTAACCACTAATTCATAGCCCCATACCATGTGTCTTGCTTCCCCATCCCTCTGATGAAATTGCTGTCTCAAAGGACAACATGAATTCATTATTGCCAAATCCAATGGCCTTTTCTTATGTTTGAGCTTCTTTTTCATGGCTGCAGCATTTGAGAATTTTTCTTTTCTTGAAAATATTTCCTCTTATACTCTGTGACCCCACCATTTCCTACTTTCCTCCCACCTTTGTATCACTTCTCAGTTTTCTTATCTAGTTCCTCTTCCATCTCTTTCCTCTTAAGCTCAGACATTCCCCCAAGGTTCTGTTCTCATTTATTTCCTCTACCTTTCACTCTGTCTTTGAGTCACTCATTCTCTTCCATAGCTTCAATTATCAGAGAAGTTGCTGACTTTCTGAGTCATAGACTTTAAGTAGCTGACCAAAGCAATGAAACTCCTCCTTCAAATATTGACATAATAATAAACCATTTTATAACATGTGCTCGTAACATTTATTGAGCACTTACTATTTGATCTATTAAATCCTCACAACAACTCCATGAAGCTGGATAAGAAAACTTGCCAAAGAGCCACACTTTCCAACTTAATATAGCTGGGATTCAATCCCCAGCAGTTGACTATAAATAACCTAGGGCACTCAAATTCTGCATATATTAGAAGAATTGTGGCACCTTGAATTTATTTGCAGGAACTCCTAAGCTATCACCACTAGGATGGTAGCTACAAAATCTTTCTGTCTAGCTACAGCCTGAATTCCATATAACTCTCTTTCTAGAATCGATTTTATTGAGGCAAATTGATGTAATATAAACTGCATATATTTAAAGTGTTCAATTTCATAAGTTTTGGCATATATACATATATGTATCTCTATAAAACCTTTACACTTTCAAGATAGTAAACACATCAATTTTCTGCAAACGTTTCCTGAATACCCTTCTCATTCCTTCTTACTTGCCCTCATTTCATTTGCCCAGAGGCAATTACTGATCTGCTTTCTGTTACAGGGAAATTTGCATCTTCTGGAGTTTTATAATTAATGGAATCATATCGTTTAGCCTTTTTATCTATCTTCATTCACTCAGCTTAATTATTCTGAGATTTATTCATGTAGCTGTATGTAACAACACTTTGTTCTTATTTACTGCTGAGTAGTATTTCATTATATGGATATACTAAAATTTATCCATTAACCTGTTTTTATATATATATTTATATATATATATAATACTTTAAGTTCTAGGGTACATGTGCATAACGTGCAGGTTTGTTACATATGTATATATGTGCCATGTTGGTGTGCTGTGCCCACTAACTCGTCATTTACATTAGGTATATCTCCTAATGCTATCCCTCCCCCTTCCCCCCACCCCACAACAGGCCCCGGTGTGTGATGTTCCCCTTCCTTTGTCCAAGTGTTCTCGTTGTTCAATTCCCACCTATGAGTGAGAACATGCGGTGTAACCTGTTGATGGACATATTGGGTTGTTTCCATTTTGGGATTATTGAAAACAATCCTGCTACAAATTTTTTGTGTCTTTGTTTGGACATATTCTTTTATTTTTATTGGGTAAATAACTAGGAGTGGACTTGCTAGGTATATAATACATATACTTTTACAACTTTTAAATGATGGCAAACAGTTTTGCAAAGTGACTGCACCATTTTACATTTCCATCCTCATTGTCTGAGAATTCTAGTGCTCCACATCCTTGGCAACACTTGGTATGGCCAGCATTTTTAATTTTAGCTGTTCTAATAGGAATGTACTGTAATCTTGCGGTTTTAATTTTCATTTACCCAATGACTAATACATTTGAGCATCTGTTCATGTGCCTCTTGGCCATACACTTGTATTCTTTTGTGATGTGTCTCTTCAAATAATTTTTCCATTTTAACAATTGAATTTTTTTCTTACTCTTAAGTTTTGAGAGTTCTTTATATTATCTGAAGAACTCTCAAATAATACAAATAATATCTGTAACAATTGCCTTATTACAGATATTATTTGCAAATATTTTCTCCCAGTCTGTGATTTATCTTTGCATTTTTTAACAGTAACTTTTAAAGGTCACACATTTTAATTTTTATAAAATACAATTTATTAACTTTTAATGGATTATTCTTTCAGTTTCATATCAATTAAATCTTTGTTTAATGCAAAGTCACAAAAAATTTCTATGTGTTTTACAAGTGTTAATGCTTTTGGTTTTGCATTTAGGTCTAGGATCAATTTTTAGCTAATTTTTGTATATGATGTGAGGTGCGAACCAAAGTTTATATTTTGCATGCCATTATCCAATTGTTCTAGCACCATTTGTCAAAAGACTATCTTTTCTCCACTGAATTGCCTTTTCACTGTTGCCAAAAAATCAGTTGTCTCTATATGTATGGGCCTGTTTCTGGACTCTGGTTTGGTCCATTGATCTATTTGTCTATTTTTTTTTTTTTTTGATGGAGTCTTGCTCTGTTGCCCAGGCTGGAGTGCAGTGGCGCGATCTCGGCTCACTACAAGCTCCGCCTCCCAGGTTCACACCATTCTCCTGCCTCAGCCTCCCAAGAAGCTGGGACTACAGGCACCCATCACCACACCTGGCTAATTTTTTGTATTTTTTTTTTTTTTTTTTTAGTAGAGACAGGTTTCACCGTGTTAGCCAGGATGGTCTCGATCTCCTGACCTTGTGATCTGCCAGCCTCGGCCTCCCAAAATGCTGGGATTACAGGAGTGAGCCACCGCGCCCAGCCTATTTGTCTATCTTAATACCAATACCACACTGTCTTTATTACTTTAACCTTAGTCTCGAAGTTAGGTAGAGCTAATCCTCTTTGTTTTTCTTTTATAAAATTGCTTTGGCTTTTCTAGGTCCCTTAAATTTCCAGCAAATTTTAGAATCAGCTTATCAATTTGTACATAAAAGCTTGATGAAATTTTGACTGGGAATACATTGAATCTATATATTAATTTGCAGCATATCTGCATTACAAAATATTGAGTCTCCTCATCCATGAACAGAAACAGTTCTGTACTTATTTAGGTTTTCTTTAATTTTTCTCAGTAATATTTTACAGTTTTCAGTTTGCATGGCTTGAGCATCTTTTGTCAGACTCATATGTAAGTAGTTGGTATTAATTGACGGTATTTTCATAGTTTTAAAAATTTCAATTTGTAACGTTCATTGGGAACAGTTAGAAATACAATTGAATTTTTATATTGATCTTTTATTCTGCAGCCTTGCTAACTCACTTAGCTTTTTTTATTAGCTTATTGTTCATTGAAGTTTTTACAGAAGTGATCACACTGCCATCAGATAAAGACAATTGTACTTTTCTCTTACCAATCAGGATGTGTTTTGTATAACTACTCTTGGCTTAGTAGCTAAAATATCTTGCACAATGTTGAAAGGAAGAGATAAAAGTAGACATCATTATCTCATTCCCCTTTTTAAGGGGAAAGCATTCAGTTTTCACTACTGAAAATAATATTAGCCATAGAATTTCCATAGGTGATGATTATTAGGTTAAGGAAATTCCCTTCTATTCCTAGTGTGCTGAGAGTTTTATCAGGAATAAATGTTGGATTTTGTCAGATGCTTCCCTCTGTATCAACCGAGAAGATCATAATAGATTTTCTTTTTTAGTTTTTTACCATGATAAATTACATTTATCAATTTTTAAATGTTAAACAAATCTTGCATTTCTGGGACAAAACTTGATTTGGATTCAATTTGCTAAATTTTATTTAATATTTTTGTATCTATTTTCATGAAGGATATTGCTCTGTTCTTTTCTTTTTTTTTAACGTCTTTTTCCAGATTTTGTATCTAATAGAAAGTGAGGAATAATTTCTTCAATTATTTGGACTAGTTTTTTTAGAATTGGTATGAATTTTTCCTTAAACATTTCATAGAATTTACCAGCAAAACTATGTGGACCTAAAGTTTTCTTTTTTGGGGATAATTTTTTCCCATTTTTTTATTCAGATAAAATATGCATAACATAAAGTTTATTATATTAACCTTTTTTCTATTTTTAAAAATTATTTTTATAGACTTTATTTTTAGAGCCGGTTTAGATTCATAGCAAAATTGTACAGGAGGTATGGAGATTTCCCAGACCAATATATTTGTTACAAATGATAAACCTACATTGACACATCATTATCACCCAGAGCCCAGTGTTAATATTGTTAAAAATTGCTTTTTTTTTTTTTTTTTTTTTTTGAGACAGAGTCTTGCTCTGTCCCCTAGGCTGGAGTGCAGCGGTGTGATCTCAGCTCACTGCAACCTCCGCCAGCTGGGTTCAAGCAATTCTCCTGCCTCAGCCTCCTGAGTATCTGGGATTACAGGCACCCACCACCATGCCCAGCTAATTTTTGTATTTTTAGTAGAGACAGGGTTTCACCATGTTGGCCAGGCTGGTCTTGAACTCCTGACTTCAGGTGATCCGCCAGCCTTGGCCTCCCGAAGTGCTGGGATTACAGGCATGAGCCACTGCACCCAGCCCCTCTCTGTCTTTTTTAACTGCTGTTGCTTTAAAGTTTGTTTTGTCTGATATAAGAATAGCTACTCCTGATTGTTTTTGGTGTTTATTTGCATGAAATATCTTTTTCTACCCCTTTACTTTAAGTTCATGTGAGTTCTTATATGTTAGATGAGTCTCCTGAAGACAGCAGAAACTCGATTGGTGAATTCTTACCCATTCTACCATTCTGTATATATATATGTGTGTGTGTGTGTGTATATATAGATATAGATATAGATATTTTTTTTTTGAGATGGAGACTCGCTCTGTCACCCAGGCTGGAGTGCAGTGGGGCAATCTCGGCTCAGTGCAAGCTCCACCTCCTGGGTTCATGCCATTTTCCTGCCTCAGCCTCCCAAGTAGCTGGGACTACAGGTGCCTGCCACCACGCCTGGCCAATTTTTTTTTTTATTTTTAGTAGAGACAGGGTTTCACCATGTTGGCCAGGATGGTCTCGATCCCTGACCTGGTGATCCGCCTGCCTTGGCCTCCCAAAGTGCTGGGATTACAGGTGTGAGCCACCGCACCCAGCCATTCTGTATCTTTTAAGTGGAGCATTTAGGCCATTTATATTCAATACTAGTATTGCAATGTGAGGTACTATCCTATACATTGTTGTCTGAATACCTTGGGTTTTTTTGTATTGTGTTATTGTTATATTGGTCTTATGAGATTTATGCTTTAAGGCGGTTCTATTTTGGTGTATTTCAAGAATTTGTTTCAAGATTTAGAGCTCCTTTTAGCAGTTCTTGCAGTGCTGGCTTGGTAGTGGTGAATTCTCTCATCATTTGTTTGTCTGGAAAAGACTGTATCTTTCCTTTATTTATGAAACTTAGTTTCAATGGATACAAAATTCTTGGCTTATAATTGTTTTGTTTAAGGAAGCTAAAAATAGGACCCCAATCTCTTCTAGCTTGTAGGGTTTCTACTGATAAATCTGCTATTAATCTGATATGTTTTCCTTTATAAGTTACCTCATGCTTCTGCCTCACAGCTCTTAAGATTCCTTCCTTTGTCTTGACTTTAGATAACCTGATGACTCTGTACCTAGACAATGACCTTTTTGTGATGAATTTCCCAGGTGTTCTTTGGGCTTCTTTTATTTGGATGTCTAGATCTCTAGCAAGGCTGGGGAAGTTTCCCTCAATTATTCCCTCACATATGTTTTCCACACTTTTAGATTTCTCTTCTTCCTTGGGAACACTAATTATTCTTAGGTTTGGATGTTTAACATAGTTTTTGATTTCTTTAAGTTGAACTTCACCTTTCTCTGGTGCCTCTTTGTTTAGCTTAATACTTGACTTTCTGAATTCTTTTTCTGGTAATTCGGAGATTTTTGTCTTGATCTGGATCCATTGCTGGTGAGCTGGTATGATCTTTTGGGGATGTTGAAGAACCTTGTTTTGTCATATAACCAGAATTTCTTTTCTGGTCCCTTCTCATTTGGGTAGACTGTTAGAGTCTGGGATTCAAATGCTGCTGTTTAGATTCTTTTGTCTCACAGGGTTCCCTTGTTGTGGTGTTCTCCCGCTTCGCCTAGAAATGGGGCTTCCTGAGAGCCAAACTGTAGTGATTGTTTTTGCTCTTCTGGGTCTAGCCACCCAGCAGAGCAGCTGGGCTCTGGGCTGGTACTGGGGAGTGTCTACAAATAGTCTTGTGATGTGATCCGTCTTCAGGTCTTATAGCCGTAGATACCAGCACCTGCTCTGGTAGAGGTAACAGGGAAGTGAAGTGGACTCTGTGAGGATCCATGGTTGTGTAAAATGTTTAGTGCGCTGGTTTTGTATTAGTTGGCCTCTAGCCAGGAGGTGGCACTTTCAAGAGTGCCTCAGCAGCCGGGCGTGGTGGCTCACGTCTGTAATCCCAGCATTTTGGGAGGCCGAGGCGGGCGGATCATGAGGTCAGGAGATTGAGACCATCCTGGCTAACACAGTGAAACCCCGTCTCTACTAAAAATACAAAAACTACCTGAGCGTGGTGGTGTGCACCTATACGCTACTTGGGAGGCTGAGGCAGGAGAATGGTGTGAACCCGGGAGGCGGAGCTTGCAGTGAGCCGAGATTGTGCCACTGCACTCCAGCCTGGGCGACAGAGCAAGACTCTGTCTCAAAAAAAAAAAAAAAAAGAAAGAAAAAAAAAAAACAGTGCATCATCTGGCCACCTATAGGGAAGATGTAAACTTGCCCTAGGGAAACCTGGTTAAGTATTCAGGTTTCTCAGGCCATGGATAGGGCCATAGAGCTCCCAAGAGATTATGACCTTTGTCTTTGGCTACCAGGGTGAGTAGAAAAAGACCAACAGATGGGGGCAGGGTTAGGTGTGTTTGAGCTCAGCCTCTCCTTAGGCAATGCTTGCTTTGGCTGCTGTGGGGCATGGAGGTGTGGTTCCCAGTCCAATGGAGTTATATTCCCAGAGGGATTATGGCTGCCTCTGCTGAGTCATGCAGGTAACTAGGTAAGTGGGGGAAAGCTGGCAGTCACGGACCTCACCCTGCTCCCATGCAGCCTGCAGTCCTAAAGGCCAGTCTCACTCCCAACAGCACTGAGTCTATTTCCAGGAAGTTGGTGACCAGAGCTAAGAACTTGACACAGACCATGAGCCTCCCCATTGAGAAAGCAAGTAAACTGGCAGGTTTTTGGCATCTCAGGGAGCCTGAAGGGGTGATCCATTTCCTACAAAGCGTCCGTGGATTCTCTTGGCTTTCCTGGTGTGTTCCTGTGGTCACTCTTGGATCAAAAATTTATGGTGTGAGTCTCCACACGCTGCTCTGTCCGTCCGAGTAGGAGCTGCAGGTTAGTCCTGCCTCCTATCTGCCATCTTGCCCAGAGTTAATATTCAGATTCACTCTTGGTGTTATACAGTCTATGGGTTTGGACAGATGTATAATGACTTATATACACCATTATAATGTTATACAAAGTAGTTTCACCATTTTAAAGTAAACAATTCAATGGCATTATGCACATTCACACTATTGTGCAACCATCACCACCTCTCACCTCCAGAACTCTTTGCAAAACTCTATGCCGTTGGACAATAAATTCCCATTCCCTCTCCTCCCAGCCCTAGCAACTACCATTCTACTTTCTGTCTCTATGATCTTGACTACTCTAAGTACTTCATGTAAGTGGAATAATACAGTATTTTTATTTTTTTATTTTTTATTTTTATTTTTATTTATTTATTTATTTATTTATTTATTTAGTATTTATTGATCATTATTGGGTGTTTCTCAGAGAGGGGGATGTGGCAGGGTCATAGGATAATAGTGGAGAGAAGGTCAGCAGATAAACACGTGAACAAAGGTCTCTGGTTTTCCTAGGCAGAGGTCCCCGCGGCCTTCAGCAGTGTTTGTGTTCCTGGGTACTTGAGATTAGGGAGTAGTGATGACTCTTAAGGAGCATGCTGCCTTCAAGCATCTGTTTAACAAAGCACATCTTGCACGGCCCTTAATCCATTTAACCCTGAGTTGACACAGCACATGTTTCAGAGAGCAGGGGGTTGGGGGTAAGTTTATAGATTAACAGCATCCCAAGGCAGAATAATTTTTCTTAGTACAGAACAAAATGGAGTCTCCTATGTCTACATCTTTCTACACAGACACAGTAACAATCTGATCTCTCTCTTTTCCCCACTTTTCCTCCTTTTCTTTTCGACAAAACCGCCATCGTCATCATGGCCCGTTCTCGATGGTCGCTGTCTTTTCGGAGCTGTTGGGTACACTTACCAGACGGGGCGGCCTGGCAGAGGTGCTCCCCACCTCCCAGACGGGGCGGCCGGGCGGAAGCGCTCCCCACCTCCCAGACGGAGCGGCCGGGCAGAGGCGCCCCCCACCTCCCAGACGGAGCGGCCTGGCAGAGGCGCCCCTCACCTCCCAGACGGGGCGGCCAGGCAGAGGCGCCCCTCACCTACCAGGTGGGGTGGCTGGGCAGAGACGCTCCTCACTTCCCAGACAGGGTGGCCAGGCAGGGGCGCTCCTCGCTTCCCAGATGGGGGCGCCGGGCAGAGGCGCTTCTCACTTCCCAGACGGAGCGGCCAGGTAGAGGCGCTGTTTAAATAATGCTGCCATGAACATGGCTATCTCTTTGAGACTCTTCAATTCTTTTGGGTGTATACCAAGAAGTGGAATTACTGGGTAATATGGTAATTCTGTTATTAAATTTTTAGAGAACTACCATACTGTTTTCCACAGAGCCTACACTATTTAACATTTTCACAAACAGTTCACAAATATTCCAGTTGCTCCACAATCTTGCCAACACTTATTTTCCAGTTTTGTTGTCACTGTTTTTAGAAATCATGGCTTGTTAATTAGGTAAACTTGTATTGTGGGGGTTTGTTGTACAGATTATTTCATTATCCAGGTATGAAGCTTAGTGCCTATTAGTTATTTTTCCTAGTCCTCTCCCTCCTTCCACCTTCCATTCTCCACCCTCCAATAGGCCCCAGTGTGTGTTGTTCCCCTCTATGTGTCCATGTGTTCTCATCATTAGTTCCCACATATAAGTGAAAACATGCAGTATTTGGTTTTCTGTTCCTGTGTTAGTTTGCTAAGGATAATGACCTCTAGCTCTACCCATGTACCTGCAAAGGACATTATCTCATACTTTTTTTATGGCTGCATAGTGTTCCATTGTGTATATATACCACATTTTCCTTACCCAGTCCCTCACTGATGGGCATTTAGGTTGATTCTTTGCCTTTGCTGTTGTGAATAATGCTGCAATGAATATACACATGCATGTGTCTTTATAATAGAATGATTTATGTTTCTTTTGGTATATACTCAGTAATGAGATTGCTGGGTCGAATGGTATTTCTGTTCCCTGAACTTTAAATAAAAGTTAAAAAAAGATAATCTCTTGCAGTTCTATATTGGCAAACAGAGGTCTGTAAATAGTACATCCTAAATATATCTTAGCTTATTTTTTTTTTTTTGGAAAAGCACCAAATTCAGGTTTACTTAAAGAAAAAAAATTGTGTGCATCTCATTTAATAAATCTTAATAAAATTTTCTACCATCTAAAGGCATTATGGTCATCCTAATGAACTTGAGGTGGTATCTCATTATAGTTTTGAATTGTGTTTCCCTAATGATTAGTGATCTTGAGTATCTTTTTATTTGTTTACCAGTGATTTGCATATATTCCTTGGAGAAATGTCTATTCAAGTCCTCTGCCCATGTTTGAATTGGGTTGCTTGTGTTTTTGTTGTTGAGTTTTTAAGGGGTTCTCTCTATATTCTGGATATTAATTCCTTATCAGATATATATTTTGCAAATATTTTCTTGCATTCTGTTGCCTTTAACTCTGTTGGTAGTGTTTTTTGATGAATAAAAATTTTAAATTTTCATAAAGTATACTTTATCATTTTTGCTTTTGTTGCCTGTCCGTTGGAATCACACCAAATAAACTATTGCCAGATCCAGTGTCATGAAGTTTTTGCCCTATGTTTCCTTCTAAGAGTTTTATCATTTTAGATCTTATATTTGGTAATGGATCCATTTTGAATTAATTTTTGTATATGGTGTTAGATGAGAACTGAACTTTATTATTTTGCATGTAGATATCCAATTTTCATAGTGTCATTTGTTTAAAAGACTGTAATTTCCTCATTGGATGGTCTTGGCACCTCCTCAAAAACCATTTGACCATATATCTGAGATTTTATTTCTGGATTATCTATTCTATTCCATTGGGTTTTGTGTCTATCACTATGCCAGTTCCACATTATTTTGATCGCTATAGATTTGCAGTAAATTTTAAAATCAGAAAGTGTGAATCCTTCAGTTTTGTTCTTATTTTTCATGATTGTTTTGGCTACTCATCATACCTTGAAACTCCATATGAATTTTAAGATGGATTTTTCTATTTCTGCAAAACATGTCATTGCAGTTTTAATAGGGGTTGCATTGAATCTGTAGTCACTCTGGGTAGCATCGGCATCTTAACAACATGGTTGTTCAAGCTGTTAACATGGGATTTGCTTTTATTTATTTGTCTTTAATTTCTTTCTGAGATGTTTTGTAGTTTTCATTGTACAGGTCTTTCACCTTTATGTTTAAGTTTAATCCTAAATATTTTATTTTTCATGTTATTGTAAATAAAATTTTCTGAATTTCTTTTTCAGATTGTTCATTTTTAGTGTATAGAAGTTCAACTGTGCCAGGTGTGGTGGCTCAGACCTATGTTCTCAGCAATTTACGAGGCTAAGAAAGGAGGATCTTATGAGGTCAGGAGTTAGAGACAAGCCTGGACAAAATAGCTAGACCTCTGTCTCTACAAAACAAAAAAAAAAAGTTAAAAAAAATAGCTAGGCATGTTGGCACCCTCCTGTGGTCCTAGCTACTCAGGAGGCTGAGGCAAGAGGATCCCTAAAGCTCAGGAATTCAAGGCTGTAGTGAGCTGTGATCATGCCACTGCACTCTAGCCTGGGCTACAGAGCAAGACCTCATCTCTGAAGAAAAGCAACTGATTTTTATGTGATATCATTGTATCTTGCTACTTTGCTGAGTTTGTTTATTGGTTCTAATAGATTTTTTGCAAATTTTTTACTTTTTTTTCCTATAAGATAATATTATCTGGTTGCAGATGATGTGCAACCAGATGATATAATCCTCTTTTAAATTTACTAAATTTCTTCCAATTTAGATGCCTTTTATTTATTTTTCTTTCCTGATTACTGTGGCTAAGACTTCCAGTACTACCTTAAATAGAAGTGGCAAAAATGGTCATTCTTGCATTGTCTTAGAGAAAAACTATCAGTCTTTTATCACTGAGTAAAATGTTCATTGTGGGATTTTCATATATGGCTTTTATTATGTTGAGATAATTTTCTTTTACACTTTATTTAGTGTTTTTATCATGAAAAAATGTTGAATTTTTCAAATGCTTTTCTGCCTCAATTGAGAGGATCATATGGTTTGTTTTCCTTCATTCTGTTAATGTGGTATATTATATTGATTTTCATATGTTGAACTACCTTTGCATTCCAGAAATAAATCCCATTTCCTCACTTTGTATACTTTATTTAATGTGCAGCTGAATTTGGTTTGCTTGCGTTTGTGGAGGATTTTTGCATCAATACTCATAAAGGATATTTGTCTGTATTTTTTTTTTCTTATAGTATCTTTGTCTGGTTTTGATATTGGGTTAATGCTGGCCTTATCAAATGAATTAGAGAGTGTTCTCTTGTCTTCAATGTTTTGGAAAAATTTGAGAGGGACTGCTATTAATTTTTCTTTAAGTGTTTGGTAGAATTCACTAGTGAAGCCATCAGTTCTAGAGCTTTCCTTTGTTGAAAAAATTTTAAATTACTGATTCAATCTTCTTGGTAGTTATATGTCCATTCAGATTTTCTATTTATTTGTAGTTTAGTCTTTGTAGGTTTTGTGTTGCTAGAAGTTTTTCCATTTTCACCTATGTATTTGTCATTGTACAATTTTTTATTGTACTCTCTTAGAATCCTTCTTTTCATTTCTATAGAATCAGTAGTAATGTTCCCAATTTCATTTTTGATTTCATTGATTTGTTTTTATCTTATTATTAATTTCTTATCTATCTTATTGTTTACTTTGCTAAAGATTTGCAATTTTCTTAATATTTTCAAGTAATAAATTTTGCTTTCATTGATTCTCCATTATTTTTCTATTCTCTTTCTTATCTCTGCTCTAATCTTTATTATTCCTTTCCTTCTGCTAGCTTTGGGATTTTTTTTTTTTCTAGTTTCTCAAGTAGTAAAGGTTGATTGATAATCTGAGATCTTTCTTTTTTTAATGCAAGCATTTACAGCTACTATTTTCCCCTTAGCACTGCTTTCACCATGTTTTGGTATGTTGTGTTTTCATTTTCACTTGTTTCTAAGTATTTGCTAATTTCCCTAATGATTTCTTCTTTTAACCATTGTTTGTCAAAAAAAAGTGTTGTTTGATTTCCACAAATTTGTGAATTTTCTAGTGTTTCTCCTGTTATTGATTTCTAATTTCATCCATTTGTGACTGATGAAGATATTGTACATTGTCACTGAAAATTCACTGAGACTCAACTTGTGGCCTAAGAGATTGTCTATTCTGGAAAATGTGTGCACTAGAGAAGAATGTGTATTTCATTGCTGTTGGGTAGGGTGTTTTGTATACGTCTGTTAGATCTAGTTGGTTTATTGTGTTATTCAATTGCTCTGTTCCATTACTTATCTTCTGTATGGTTGTTATATCTATTATTTAGAGTGGAATGTTGAAATCAACAATTATTATAGAATTATTTACTCCTATTTTGACTGTGTTAATTTTTGCTTCATATATTTTGATAGTCTGTTATTAGGTGTATAATGTTTATAATCATTATATCCTCATACCATATTGAAGCTTTTATTAAAATATAATGTCCTAATTTATGTCTCGTGAAATTTTTTGATTTATAGTCTATTTTGTCTGATATTGGTACAGTCACCCCTGTTCTCTCTTGGTTACTATTTGCATGGAATATCTTTTCCACTCTTTTACTTTTCACCTATTTGTGTCTTTGAATCTAAAATTAGTCCCTTTTAGATAGCATATAGTTACATCATGCTTTTTAATCCATTCTTCCAATCTCTGTCTTTTGATTGGGGAGATTAATACATTTACATTTAATGTAATTACAGTTATGCATACTTAACAATGGGGAAACATGCTGAGAAATGCATTTTAAGGCAATTTCATTGTTGTTTGTGAACATAGTTGAGAGTACTTATGCAAACCTATATAGTATAGCCTGCTATACACCTAATCTACATGGTATTGCCTATTGCTCCTAGGCTACAAACCTGTACAGCATGTCGCTGTATTGAATACTGTAGGCTATGTAACACAATGGTAAGTATTTGTATATCTAAACATACATAAACATAGAGAAGGTAATGCATTACACTATGATGTTATAATGGCTATAACGTCACTAGGTGTTAGATATTTTTCAGCTCAATTTTAATCATATAGAACCAGTGTCATATATGTGGTTCAACATTGACTAAAATGGCATTATGCATGACTGTACTAATAAAGAGGGACTTACTTTCTTCATTTGGCTACTTGTTTTCTATGTGCCCTAAGGCATTTTCGTTTCTTATTTCCCAAATTATTGTCTTTTTTTGTGTTTAGCTGATTTTTTATAGTGAAGTGTTTAAATTTATTTCTCACTTCCTTTTGTTAATATTCTTCAGCTATTTTCTTTGTGGTTATCATAAGTATTACATTTAACATCTTAAAGTCACAACAGTATTATTACATTTAACTTATACCAGCTTTACATTAATAGCATGCAACAGCTTTTCTCCTTTAACAGCTTCATCTCCATGCTTTTTAGTTGTTGACATCACAAAATTACGTCTTCATACCTTATGTGTCCAGAATCTAAACTTACAATTTTTAAATTCCTTAGTTTCATGAATTATGTAAAAAACAAAGAGTGGAGTTAGAAATCAAAGGTAGAATAATGTTAGCTTTTTGATTTGATAATTGTTTCTTTAAAAAGTATTAGTCTTTTAAATCACACAGAAAACAAAAAGTGAAGTTACACACCATTGTTACAACAATACCTGCTTTTACAATTGCTTGTATATTTACCTTTACTGAGATATTTATTTTTTCATATGGCTTTGAGTTACTGTTTGGTATGTTTTCATTTCAACCTGTGGGGCAGTTCTCAACTTTTGTGTATCTGGGAAGGTCTTAATTTCTTTCTCACTTTTGAAGTAATGTTTTGCCTAACATAGGATTCTTGGTAGTTTGTTTCTTTTAGCACTTTAAATGTTAGCTCACTGCCTTTTGACTTCCAATGTTTCTGATGAGAAATCTGCTGATACTTTCATTGAGGATCCCTTGTGAGTGTGTGCTGAGTCACTTCTTTCTTATTGCTGTTAGATTGTCTTTAGGGGGTTTGATTACATGTCACAGAGTGGGTCTCTTTGAGTTCATCCCACTTGGAGTTCAATGAGTTTCTTGGATGATGTTTACATTTATGTCTTTCATCAAATTTGGGAAGTTTTTGGCCATTATTTCTTCAAATAAGTTTTCTGCCACTTTCTCTCCATTCTCCCTGAAACTTCTGCAATGCATATGTCAGTGTGCTTGATGGTGTTGCACAGGTCTCTTAGGATTTGTTCACTCCTTTTCAACCTTTTTTTTTTTTTCTGGTTCTCACACTTGATAATTTCCAATTTTCTGTTTTCAAGTTTGTAGATTCTTTCTTCTGCCTGCTCAAATTTGCCTTTGAATCTTGCTAGTGAACTTCTTATTTTATTTATTGTGCTTTTCAGTTCCAGAATTGTTTTTTATTTCTACTTTTTAGGTTTTCTATCTCTTTATTGATATTTCTATTTTATTCATACATCTTTGTTTACTTTCTATTTTTTTCCTTTAGTTCTTTGAGCACCTTTAAAACAGTTGTTTTGAAGCCTTTGTCCAGTAGATCAGACATCAGGTCTTTTCCAGGGGCAGTTTTTGTTAATTTATTTTTTCCTTTGAATGGGCAATACTTTCCTCTTTTATTGAAAACTTGACATTTAAATCTAATAATGTGGTAACTCTAGAAATCAGATTCTCCCCATTCCTCCATATTTACTGTTTATTTATTTATTTATTTATTTATTTATTTATTTATTCATTCATTTATTTTTCTAATGTTGTAGGGTGTCTATGTGTTGAGGATCAGATTTAGGTTTAAACTTAAGGTCTCCTTAGGTCTTCTCTGAGCTTTTTCTGTATATTCCCTGTAAATATACAGTAACTTTCTTATTTCCCCTGTATATGTAGTTGCCTTTGAACTTCATTGTTTTCAATAACTGGTTCCCAAAAGGAGAAAAAAGAACATTGAAGGGAGGAAAAAATGTGCCAGCCCTTTACATCTTCTCAAAGTCACCCCAGCCAGAGTGGAAGGGGCTTGCAATAATTAAGGGAGATGTGGCAACAATGGTCGCCACCTCTTTATCAGCACCTTTATGTTTAGAGTAACAATCAGCAATATGAGCACAGATCTCTAACATTGGGAAGACAGCATCCTTTTTGCCCACCCTCACCCTCTTAAGTTGTACGAAAGCTGCTCCAGGAACATATGCAAAGTTCCCTGCCATGTGGCTAAATGACGAGGTGAGGCATGGGTAGCTGCTACTGTGCTGAGTTAAAATTGACCAAAATTAGGCTGGGCGCAGTGGCTCACGCCTGTAATCCCAGGACTTTGGGAGGCCAAGGCGTGTGGATCACGAGGTCAGGAGATCGAGACCATCCTTGCTAACACAGTGAAAGCCCGTCTATACTAAAAATACAAAAAATTAGCCGGGCGTGGTGGTGGGCACCTGTAGTCCCAGCTACTAGGGAGGCTGAGGTAGGAGAATGGCGTGAACCCAAGAGGCAGAGCTTGCAGTGAGCTGAGATTGCACCACTGCACTCCAGCCTAGGTGACAGAACGAGACTGTGTCTCAAAAATAATAATAATTGACCAAAATTAATCACCATTTACCATTCTAGTCTCCCCCTAAAAGCTTCAATTCTTCAGTAGATTCCAGAGTTCCAAAATACTTATATCAGACAAATTCTGCCAGTGCAGTTATTATCTTGGGAGTGACGGAAGGCCGATTTCTGATTATTTCTTCTCCACCATCTTCCCAGAGTTCTCTCTTTTCTAAGAAGGTTCTTAACTTCAAGTTTCATTTATTTATTGATATAGTGCTATTCTGGAAATCTATTTTTTCTTGAACATGTTTCATTGCTTGTGTCTTTCAAGAAATCTGTCCATTTTATCTAAGTTGCACACTTATTGGCTTAAAAGTTTTTAAAATAATAATTCCTTAAATATCCTTTAAAGATTTATGTGTTCTGTAGTGATATTATTTCTTTTATTTCTATTCTTTTATTTTGTACCATCTCTCTCTCTTTTTTCATGATCAGACTGGCCATGAGAACTTCATTAATTTTATTGACTTTTTCAAGGAATTAACTCTTGATTTCATTAACCTTCTTTATTATTTTTCCATTTTCTAGTTTAGTAATTTCTGTTCAGATATTTACTAATTTCTTCCTCCACCTATCTTGGGTTTAATTTACTGTTCTCTTTCTAGTTTTTAAAGGTTAAAGTCATTGGTTTGAGATGTTTTTAAATTTTTGGATATACATATTTAGTGTTACAAATACTTCCACATAGTGCTTTACTGGTATCCCTAAAATTTTGATATGCTGTGTTTTAATATTCATTCAGATCTTCTATAAGTCCATTTTCATTTCAAAATAATTTCTAATTTTTCTTTTGATTTCCTTGATTTATAAGTTTTATAAGAGTATTATTTAGTTTCAAAATAAATGAGGATTTTCCAAAGATATTTCTGTTATTTTTTTTTCCAGTTTAGTTTTATGGTATTCGGAAATTATGCTTTATAAGAATTGACTTCTTTTAAGTATTGAGACTTGTTTTATGGCTTGGATTATGATTTATATTGATAAGTGTCCTACATACATTTGGGAAAAAAAAGTGTGATTTTTGTTTATGGGTAAAGTGTGCTATAAATGTCAACCAGGTCAGTTTAGTTGATAGTGTCATCCAAGTATTCTATATACTTAATGATTTCTGTCTACTTTTATCAGTCATGGACAGAAAGAAATTAAAATCTCTAACTATAGTTGCAGATTTCTCTCTTTTTTATTGTAATTCTATCAGTTTTTGCTCTATGCATTTTGAAGCTCTTGAACCAGATCGTCATATTCTCTTAAACAACAAACCACTTTAGCACTGTGAAATGATCAGCTTTATCTTTGGTAATATTTGTTGTTCTAAAATCAATTGTTTTGATCGTAGCTTTCTTTCCACTGGTTTCATCATGGTGTCTATTTTTCATTTTATTATTTTTAAACTGTGTATGTTTAAAGTTTATTGCTTATCAACAGTATATAGTTGGGTCTTGTTTCTATATCCATTATGACAGTATCTGCCATTAAGTGGTATGTTTAGACCATTTGCATTTAATATGGCTTTTAATATTGTTAGATTTAAATCTATCATTTTGCCATTTGTTTTCCATTTGTCCATTTTTTTCTTTCACCTCTTTCCTTCTTTTGTCTGCCTTCTTTTTGATTAACTTTTTGTTTCTATTACATTTTCTTATTGGCTTATTAGCTATCATACTTTGTATTACTCATTGTTCAGGATTTAGAGTATACATTTTTAACTTAGTCTATTTTCAAGTGACATTACTTTACATATTGTATAAGAGCCTTGCAACAGTACATTACCAGACTTTACAATTGATACTTCCATTTACCCTTCCCTGCCCTTTTTATTATTGTCATACATTTTACTTTTATATGTTATAAATTTCATAATATATTTTTATTTTTTTCCAAACAGTGCAGATCTGAAATGGTGATGAATTCTTTCAGCTTTTGTCTTTCCAAAAAATATTTTTTTATTTTTTTTGAAATGGGGTCTTGCTCTTTCACCCAGGCTGAAGCACAATGGTGTAATTATGTTTCACTGCAGCCTTGAACTCTTGGGCTTAAACAATTCTCATGCGTCAGCCTCCTAAGTAGCTGGAACTATAGGTGTGCACACCCATTCCAGCCCAATTTTTAAATTTTTAGTGGAAAGGAGGTTTTTCTATGTTGCCCAGTCTGGTCTTGAACTCCTAGCTTCAAATGATCCTCCTGCCTTATCCCCCAAAGTGTTGGGATTACAGGGATGCACCACCATGTCTGGCAAAAAAAAAAAAAAAAAAAAAAAAAAAAACTGCTTTGGCTCTATTTTATTTATTTTATTTTTTATTTTTTAAGAGATGTTGTTTTGCTATGTTGCTTAGGATGGCCTCAAATTTCTGGGCTGAAGTAATTATTTTGCCTCAATCTCCCAAGTACCTGGGACTACCAGTATGTGCCACTGTGCCCAGCTTACCTTTACTCTTGAAACACATTTTCACTGGAATAGAATTATAGAATGATGCTTTTTTCTCTCAATAGTTTAAAGATGCTGTTTTCTTACCTGCATTGTTTCTAGTAAGAAATCTGCTGTCATCCTCATCTTTGTTCTTCTTTATGTAAAGTTCTTTTTTTCTTAAACTGGTTTTGATATTTAATTTTTAGCACTGGTTTTGTTTTGATCAATTTGTTTTTGATGTGCCTTGCTGTAGTTTTCTTCATTTTTTTGTCCTTGGGTTTCATGGAACTACTTGTATATGTGTGGTTTTATAGTTTTAATCAGGTTTGGAAATTTTTCATTCATTATTTCTTCATATGTATTTTCTATCCACCCCTTTCTAGAGACTCCAATTAAATGCATATTAGGCTACTTAAAGTTGTTCCATAGTTCATTTATGACATTTTTGAAAATTATTTTAGATGTTTTGTTTTGGATAGTTTTAATTGTTATGTGTTCAAAATCACTAAAGCTTAATAATCAGATAATCTTATATGGTGTATTTTTTAAATCACATACATTGTACTTTTTATCTCTGAATATTTGATTTGGGTCTTTCTTATACCATTCTTATGTTGTTACTTATTTGTTTGAATATATGGAATGCAGTATTCTTTTTTTATGCTTTTATTCTATTATCTGCTTATGTTCTGGGTCAGTTTCAATTGATTGACATTTTTCTCATTATGAGTCATATTTTCCTACTTCTTTGCGTACCTGGTAAGCTTTTATTTGATGCCAGACACTTTGAATTTGCATTGTTGAATACTGCATGTTATTTGTATTCCTACAGCTTTTTGAGCTTTGTTGTAGAATGCAGCTACTTAAAAACAATTTCATATTTTTGTGTTTTGCTTTTATGATTCATTATGTGGGACCAGAATAGTGTTTAGTCTAGGGCTAATTGTTTTCCACTATTGAGGCAAGACCCTTCTGAGTACTCTACTAATGCCCTGTGAATTAAATGGTTGTGCATTCTGGCTGGTGAGAGCTCAGTGTTAATGCTAGACACTGCTTTCTCTAATTTTTTGAGTGTTTTTTTTTCCCCTGGCTTTGGATGGATTCCTCACATGCATGTGTTGATCAGTATTCTGCTGAAAAAAGGACCTTCTTCTGCAGGTCTCTGGAGTTGTTTTTTTTGTTTTGTTTTTTTTTGGGTTTTTTTGGTGCAGCTTTCTATTTTCATATACTATATCCTGAAAACTCCAGCTGTGTTGGCCTCCCCAGACTCTTGGTTTCATCTCCTCAACTCAGGAAGTTCTCTAGGCTGTACTTGCATTCCTCTTCCCTGTTCTGAGGTCTGGATTATTTTTTTAAATCAATAAGCTGAGGAAAATTAGAGATCACCTTGATTGACTCCAGTCTTTCAGAAATTATTGTTTTTTATTGTTTGATGTCCAATGTATCGAAGATCATTGTCTCATTTTTTTACTTGTTTTTGGTGACCATGAAGAAAAATTGAGCAGGGTAGGGGATAAAGGAGAGTGTGGAATAGATTTGGTTACATTACTTGAGACCCTCTTTGAATGATTAATGTGAAGATACACTGAAGGAATTGAGGGAGTGAGCCATGAGGCTATCTTGAGGAAGAACATTTGAGGCAGAAAGATAAGCAAATTTAAGAAGAGCAATAGGAGCATGACTGACTTGCCAAAAAACACTGTGGGGGTCACTGTAGCTTGAGACAGTTCACAGGACTGAGAGGATGAGACTGGAGAGAGAACCAAGTGCTCAAATAATACGAACCTTTTAGGAAGAAAGCACTGTGGTTTTATTCTAAGTGTGATGAGAAGCTATTGTAAGATTTTCAGCAATAGTGTATGTGTCAAAGAAAAATATTTAACATTTTAAAGAATAACATGTTGGATGCTGTGTAGAAAATTGATTGCAAGGGGTCAAGAGTAAACGTAGATTTGGACAAGGGTAGTAACAAATGATACAATTATAGAATATCTTAAGGGAAGTGCTGATAAAATTTGATGGATTGGGTGGATATGAGGGAAAAAAAGGAATAAAGATTTATTTCCAAGTTTTTTGCCCAAATCATGGTCTCATATACTAACATGGATAACAATGGAGAGGAAAGTTTTATTGAGGAAAATTGAGTTATGTTAAGTTTGAGATGCAAGTTGAAATGTCAGGTAGGCAGTTATTCAAGTCTGGACACCAAGGAAGAGACGGAATATTTTAGAGTCCTCAGCATACACATGGCGTTGTGTGGAGATCAGTAGGAAGAGTGAGGCTAAATAAGTCCATGGACTGGTTCTGGTGCATTTTAAACTTCAGAGGCTGGAGAATTGAGACTGAATCAACAAAAGACAAAGGAGTAGAAGCCAATGATATGGGAAAAAAATCAGGAAAGTATGGCATCCTGGGAGCCAAGCACAGAAAATACTTCAAGAAATAGGAAGGGGTCAACCATGTCTAATGTTGCTGAGAGATTGAGTAAGATAAAAAGCAAAAATTGACGTTGGATTATTCAAAGTGCAGGTCTTCCGTGATTGTTTCTTATTATCCCACAAAGCCTCAAATCTTGGAGGCATTTCATGTATTAAATTAAATTTATAAGACTAAGATTCTGCCTTCATCCACTATCCCTGAGGTTGAATGATAATTTTACTTTTCTTATGTGTCTGTGATTAAATCCAGAGATACTCGCTGTTTTTCATTTTTCACTCACTAGATTGTTAAAACTTAATATGGGAGCCAGTGCCTTATCATCTGAGGAATGATAGAGGATGTTCCTATAAGGTTTGCCCTCATAAATCTGCATCTGTCTAGCAAGGTGAGGGGTAACCTAGTAGCATATGGGCTCACCTTGTGTCCAGGAACAAATCAACTTGTCTTGATCATAACCTAACGTAAAAAGCCAGACTTATATGCAGAATTCATTTCTCTGTTTACTTTCAAATGTTGGCACACTATGTATGTACCCCAAAAGATACTGGGAATTCACAAAAACCCAAATATACAGTTTGGTAAAGACAATCTACTTTTACCCAGTTAAAGATACTTCGCCACTTCTTGAGAGTAAAAACAATAAGAATAAAACTTCAAAAGAAAATAATTAACTGTAAAGCCTATTTTCCTGTTTGTGCTTTTTACTTTAGATTATTATTTATTTAAACACTAAAGAGGAATTTCTAAAGTAATGTCTATAAGGAAGCAAATGAATTTAGCCAATACTTTATGTGCCTGATTCAACATGTTGGTTAAGTTTTAATTTTACAAGTACAGTTGGCTCACTAAAGCCATTACATTCTTTGTATCTGAGTTGACTGTACACTACACAACAAATTTCTTACTATATCATCTAGATGTCATTTAGGGGAGTTTAAATAATCCACAGGTAATACAACTTCTAAGTGAAACAATGTCTTTATTTTTCAGACTTGACAGTAGCCTTAGTGAAAAAGTACTGTGAAAGTTTTCAAGTGTTAGAGAGAAAGTGGAAGTGGGTGCTTGGTATAAATGTGCCACTCTGTCCCCAGTGCCAAGGGCCCTGTGGTGAAGCTCTTCACAGAGGAAGTTTAGCTCTTCCACAGAGGTGCAAGGAGCTAGCTACCCACTTGATCGTCCTTCTTCCCAACCTTACAAAGGGAACATTCCAATTATCTGACTGAAAAGTGAGAAAAGGAAGAAAATGGAAGAAAAATCTGTTACTTTTCAACCATACAACTTCATATTTTTAAAGTCAGTAGGGGCCAGGCATGGTGGCTCACGCCAGTAATCCCGGCACTTTGTGAGGCTGAGGTAGGCAGATCACTTGAGGTCAAAAGTTTGAGACCACCCTGGCCAACATGTTGAAACCTAATTTCTACTAAAAAACACAAAAATTAACCAAGGATGGTGATATGCAGCTGTAATCCCAGCTACTCAGTAGGCTGAGGCAGGCGAATCGTTTGAACCCAAGAGGTCACACCACTGCACTCGAGCCTGACTCCGTCTCAAAGAAAAGAAAAACATCAGTAGGATTGAAGTATGAAAAGAGCCAGGGTTTTAAATGATAGCTTCTCTCACACAAGAGTGAAGGGAATAGGTTAAGAACCTCTCCCCTACTTTAACACTCTATTTTAAGCATCTTAAAAAATATTACTTTCTTTGCTATCCTTGACTTTAATAAATCATAAAATGAGACTAAAACATGACCCATTCTATTGGGCCTTCAAAAAACCCATATTTTGTTATTGGACATTTTGTATTCAATTAGAGAATCTTTACTGAACATCTCCAGGATGGCTAGTCCTGATCTAGATCCCCAAGTTCTTTAAATAGTGGAGAGGAGCTCAGGCTCTGCTTTAATGAGGGTTTTTGTCAAGAAAAGTAGGTTATACAATGGAAAACAACAACCAACATCTCAGAGACTTAACAGAACAAAAGTTAATTTCTTGCTTGTACTACCTGTCCACAAGGTTTGGCAGGAGTCTTTCTTTCTTTGTTCACTGTAGTCACTCAGAGATCAGCTATCCATCTGCCCCCAGGATCATGTGGCAGGGAATAGGTCGCTTGGTGAATCATACCCGGGCTTTTAACCCTGCCACCCAGAAGTCACACATCACTTGCGTTCACATTTCATTGGGCCAAGCAAGCGTGATGGTGGAACTATTCAGGCTTGAATAGAGAACAACAAAGCCACATCGTTAAACCAGATGGTGGTGGTCAAAGTTCATGGTTGGGTTATCAAGCCATGGTTAGAAACACAGCTGCCGATATCTGGGGCTGTAACAACTGCAGGTCTAATGATCCAAGGCCAGGAACAAAGATTAAGGGAGCACTCTAGGGATGGGAGAACCCATGGTGAGACTTAGCTGCATTGTAACAGAACAGACTTAGAGAGGCAGATAGCAGAGCCTCCCTACAGTATCTAGAATGTGCATCTAGAAGCTTTCCATGCTCACTTCCTGTTTCCCCTGGTATTTATTCAAATGTCAATTACAAAGAACACAAAATGTCTAGTACTTTATAGCCTCCTTATGTTTAGGTTTCACTCCTGACCTCAAAGACCTTAAAACTAAGTAGATTCTGAATTTTTCAAATTATTTCAGGGTATTGCAACAATGGACATTTTATTTGATTGTATACTTATTTTTCTACTGGAAACTGTACTTGAAAACAGTTAACTAAACATCTATTTACCCTCTCACAGTAAAATTTCTATGGCTATTGTTCTGGAGGTGGAGTGGCTAATATTTACTGAGCCCTTTCTCTCTGCTAGACATTTGATAGGCATTGTAATACAGTAGTGGCCCTTTATCTACAGAAGATACATTCCAAGACTCCCAGTGGATACTGAAACCTTGAATAGTACCAAACAAATTGACATCAATTGAAATATATTTCTGTTCATGTCCTCCACCCACAATTTTTTTTTTTTAAACAGCGTCTTGCTGTGTCACCTAGGCTGGAATGCAGTGACCTGATCATGGCTTACTGCAGCCTTGACCTGCAAGGCTCAAGCAATCTCCTGCTTCAGCCTCCCAAGGAGCTGGAACTATAGGTGTTTACCACTACATCCAGCTAATTTTTTTGTTGGAGCCCACACACAGAATCCCCACTGGGGTGCTGCCTAGTGGAGCTGTGAGAAGAGGGCCATGGTTCTCCAGACCCCAAAATGGTAGAGCAACTGACAACTTGCACTGTGTGCCTGAAAAAGCCACAGGCACTCAACGTCAGGCCATGAAAGCAACCATGGGGGCTGTACCCTGCAGATCCACAGGGCCGGAGCTGCTCAAGGCCTTGGGAGTCTACCCCTTGCATCAGTATGCTCTGGATGTGAGATATGGAGTCAAAGGAGATTATTTTAGACCTTTGAGATTTAATGACTGCATTCCTGGGTTTTAGGCTTGCATGGGGCCTGTAGCCCCCTTGTTTTGGCAATTTCTCACATTTGGAATGGGAGCATTTGCCCAATGCCTCTACCTTCATTATATCTTGGAAGTAACTAGATTGTTTTTGATTTTGTGGACTCATAAGCAGAAGGGACTTGCCTTGTCTCAGATTACACTTTGAACTTGGACTTTTGAGTTAATGCTGGAATTAGTTTAGACTTTCAGGGACTGTTAGGAAGGCATGATTGTGTTTTGAATTGTGAGAAGGACATCAGATTGGGAAGGGACCAGGGGAGGAATGATGTGGTTTTGCTCTGTGTCCCATCCCCAAATCTCATGTTGAATTGTAATTCCCGACATTGGGGGAGGGACCTGGTGGGAGGTGATTGGATCACAGGGTAGGATTTCACTCATGCTGTTCTCTGATAATGAGTCAGTTCTCACGAGATCTGATGGCTTAAAGTGTGTGGAACATCTCCCTTCACTCTGTCTCTGTCCTGCCACCATGTGAAGAAGGTATTTGCTTCACTTTTACCCTCCACCATAATTGTAAGTTTCTTGAGGCTTCCCAGTCATGCTTCCTGTTAAGCCTGAAGAACTGTGTAAGCTCCTTTTCTTTGTAATTACCCAGTCTCAGGTAGTATTTTACAGCTGTGTGAGAATGGACTCCATGTGGGCTCCAACTCCACATTTCCCCTCATTGCTGCCCTAGTAGAGGTTCTCTATGAAGGCCCCTCCACTGCATCAGACTTCTGCCTGGACACCCAGGTGTTTCCATACATCCCCTGAAATTTAGGAGGAGGTTCTCAAACCTCAATTCCTGCCTTCTGCGCAACTGTAGGCCAAACACCACTTGGGGCTTGCATCCTCTGAAGCAATGGCCCTGGGCCTGGCCCACAAAACCATTTTTTCCTCCTAGCCATGGGCCTGTAATGGGAGGGGCTGCTGAGAAGGTTTCTGAAATGCCCTGAGACATTTTTCCCATTGTCTTTGCTATTAACATTTGACTCCTCTTTACTTATGCAAATTTCTGCAGCTGGCTTGAATTTTTCCCAAAACATGGGTTTTTCTTTTCTACTGCATGGCCAGGCTGCAAATTTTCTAAACTTCTATGCTCTGCTTCTCTTTTAAATATAAGTTCAAGATTCAGATAATCTATGTTCATGCATATGAGCATATATTTTAGAAACAGCCAGGTCACATCTTGAATGCTTTGCTGCTTAGAAATTTCTCCCGCCAGATACCCTAAATCATCTCTCTCAGGTTCAAAGTTCCACAGATCTCTAGTGCAGAGGCAAATGACACCAGTCTGTTTGCTTAAAGGATAGCAAGAGTGACCTTTACTCCAGTTCCCAGTATGTTCTTCATCTCCATTTGAGAACACCTCAGCTTGGACTTCATTGTCCATATCACTATTGGCATTTTGGTCAAAACCATTCAACAAGTCTCTAGGAAGTTCTAAACTTTCCCACATATTCCTATCTTCTGAGCTTTCAAAACTTTTCTAACTTCTGCCTATTACCCAGTTCCAAAGTCAGTTGCACATTTTCAGGTATCTTTATAGCAATACCCCACCCTTCTGTTACCAATTTTCTGTATTAGTGTGTCCTCACACTGCTATAAAGAACTACCTGAGACTGGGTAATTTATGAAGAAAAAAGGTTTAATTGACTCATAGTTCTTCAGGCTTAACAAGAAGCATGAATGGGAAGCCTCAGGAAACTTACAATCATGGCAGAAGGTGAAGGGGAAGCAAACACTTTATTCACATGGTGGCAGGAGAGAGAGAGTGAGCAAAAGTGGAAGTCCCACACACTTTTAAACCATCAGATCTTGTGAGAATTCACTTGCTATCATGAGAACAGCATGGGGGAAATCCAGCCCCTGTGAGTCAATCATCTCCCAAGAGGTTCTTCCCCCAACTTTGGGAATTACAATTCAACATGAGATTTGGGTGGGGGCAGAGCCAAACCACATCAATATTTATTGCCTTCTTAACAAGATGTCTGGAGTAGGATATTTCAGTTTTGATTTATCAGAATTCTGGGTGAATATTTAGTGATTTATAGGACTTCTTAACACTGCTACCCAGAAATGACACCTCACTTGCATTCCCATTTTATTGGTCCAAGCAACTATGATGACAAGACTATTCAGGCATGAGGAGAGACAGCCAAATCACATTATTAAACCAAGTTGTGGCTCATGGCTCACATGTCAGAGAACACAAGGAGAAAGTGAAGCGACATCTACAGTAGAGCAAGGGAAAGACTAGGGAGAACAGGATAAGGGAGAGAGTGAGGAAAGAGCGAGACAAGAGGTGGTATATCTGACTCTCTTCTTTTATCAGATAAGAAACATCTTTCTAGGAACACATGCAGCAGAAGCATGCTTTCACTCACTTCTTGTTGGCAATAACAAGTCTACCTGGCACTCCCTAGCTATAAGGGAAGTTGAAAAAGGAAGTATCTGACTTTTTAAAAATTTGTTGTGAAAAGAGAGAGGAGTTAGGGAACCCCCATTAGATAATTTAGTCAACTATGACTTCCATATTCCTCCCACTCAATGGTAAATGATTAAAAAGTAGTTTAGTAGGTCAGCCCCAGAATTCACTTCATTACCCAGCTTCATCATCAAAACTATACTTTAATTCAAAATTCAAAATATTATGTCATCCAGTTTATCAAGAAGCCCATATAGTTTTGATATTTTCTTTTGATTTCTGTATGAATTTGTCATGAAACTTTTAATTTCTTTACAAACAGGTTTCTGATTTTGAACCTTTCCACCTTCAAATTTCACCCTCACCCTCATCACCCTCTTCAAATTCAAAGCCTCAAGTCTTGTCAATCTTACCTCAAAACTATATCTGGATCCTGTTGATTTTTCTCCATCTCTTTCTTTCCATTCTTTTTTCCAAGCATCAAGCATCATTAATTTTCATTTTGACCAATGCGCTAGCTCCCTGGCTGATATCCTTACATCAGTTCTTGGATCTCCATAGTACATGCATCATATTATGCAAAGTTTTTAAAGGAGAGCTTTTAAAAATGTAAGTCAGATTAATTTTTTTTTGAAAAATAGCAAAAAAAAAGGAATAAAAATGTAAGTTAGATTTTGTAACTCCTTGCTTAAAACTTTTGATAATCTTCCCATTGTGCAACTCCTAAACTCCTTAGGGTGGACCACACCCCACTGAGAATTACTTGAGTAAAGGGACTGTAACTGTTTTGCTAACATCATACATATAGCAAAAGGAAAATAGGACAGTGCCTGTTATTTATATGTATGCGTGTGTGTAAGTGTGTGCATGCATAGGTGTGCAGGTGTGTGTGTTACATGAAAAAATAAATGATAGAATTGTAATTATTATTATAGTTTCTATAAGATTTATAGTAGAAACTCTTTAAACAAGCTCCTCACTTTTACCAAAGGCCGCTTTCATATACAATTGGATAATGTGATCATCTAGCCAAGGAGGTAAAATAATATTGATTAAAGCCATGTAAATACTGAGATAATGTATATAAATATGTAAATACCTAACAGACTATTATCAATTCTGTAATTTTATAGGACCCTCCTACATTAAGCATTGAAATTTTGTCTAAAAATATTAGTTGGATCCACCATTTCACCAATTTGAAACGATACTTGAAGGCTATTCTTTTAACATTTGACTACATAAAGCTAATAAAATATCTAGTGATGAAAAAAGAAACTGCTATATGAAATAATATATCTGGTTTACTCTACAGATACACCTAAGTATGAAGACATAAATATGATCTAGAAGTAACATAAAATATTAACGATGTTTTTGTATTAGTTTCCATTTATTCTCACTAGATGATTAACGAGACTTTTAGTCAGAAGCAACTAATGGATTTTTGTTGTTGTTGTTCCTGACCCTGTATGATGCTCTTCTTTTGACATTTCCTTTTTCATCTTTTGTGTCTTACTCTGATCTATAACCCATGCTAAGCCAAAATAATCCACGTGGATGGTAATTTACCTCAAAATTGATGCACTAATTGGAGATAATCCCTTCTCCACACTCACTGCAAGGTCAGTTGTTTAAAGTACAATGTCTTAATTAACCTTGAACTGTACAATTAGAGTTCTGCTGTTTCTATCCATGTTTGGCACCTCATAGATCCAGGCAATAACATCTCTCCAATTGCAGTTGCCAGTTACATAATGCCTGCAAGCAAGCTTGCCTTCCTTTTGAAATCACACAGCAGGAAAGATTTTATAGAGATCAGCATGTATTTCTGAGCTACCTGGAAGATCTCTCCAAAATTACTGAGAAGCCCTTCATCATACTGTATTCCACCTATTGCATGACAAAATTTATACTCCATATCCCATTCCTGCTTCTAGTAACAGTAAGAATAAGTAAAAATTATTTATTTGCCTTTTGTTCACTGAGGTCTCATTATTTAATTTGTATACATTATGGTGTAATAGCAAAAGTGTCCTCTAAACTGCAAAGCTATTAAGTATAAAATGTCACTGCATTTTACAGTGCCACTATTTTTTGTGCTTCTTTATTTTTCCATTTTTGTAATTATTCCACTTGTTACATACTTCTTTGCTCATCACCAGAGTTTTTCTTATGGATTATAGCAAATAGCCTTTATTTAAAGTTTATGTGTCAAGGATAATGCTTGTAAAGTGCAATAGATATGCTCTATTTTAATTCCTTACTTGAGATAAGTCAGAAACTACACAGTTGCATAGATATTGATCCATTTTATAAAATTAAAATTAAAAATATTAATAACAACTGTACCTCATGTACTAGTGATATCAAAACTACATTAATTAAATTAATTTTTAATAATTCTATTTGGTAAAACTTGGCACTTGCTGCTTTGATAATATCTTCTTAGTGAAAAATGTTAAGTCACTTTGTTCCCTATTATTCAATCACAAATGCATGAATAACAACAGGTTCAACTTATCTCATGGCCCAGCTTTCCCCTGAAGACTCTACAATACAGAGGTTCTGGACCTGATCCAAGGAAATTGGGAAGTCCACATGAAACCGGTATATAACTGCCAGAGAGAATTGTCATATTTCTCTTGACTATGAAAATGTACACTTATTACTTAAACCCCTCACAAAAAAATGAAAAACTATGGCTTCCTAATAAATGGGTTTCTCTCCATTTCATATCTATCAAGATATTTGGTAAAAAAGTTTTTTGAAAATTAAATTCTTAAGGATTTTCCTTATTGGGGAAAAAAGGGCTATCTGTAACTGTACGTGTTTCTAGTAGTAAATGTCTAACAGTCCTAAAGTTCCAGCACATAATCAAATGACAGATACTTACTCTGTGCCACATTAGATCAGTGGTTCTCAATCAGGGGTGGTTTTACCCCCAGGGGATATCTGCCAATGTCTGGAGACATTTTTGGTTGTCAAAACTGTGGGGGAGGGGCGGGGGCTGCTACTGGCATCTAGTGGGTAAATGACAGAGGTATTGCTGAACATCCTGCAATGCCTAGGACAGACCTCACAACAAAGAATTACCGGACACAAAACTGTCAATAATGAGAAAACTTAGATTGTATAAAACCTGCCACTTTAAGTCGTCAGAATGTGAAATTTCTGTATAAAAAGTTAATTCTATGAATGATTATTTTTGTTTTCAGAGGTAGCTAAAAATTTCAATTGTCAAAATTCAGATTAAAAGCTACTCTTAGTGATCAAGTCTCATAAATAGAAAATAATTTGGTGGAGGTGGCCGCATAAGGGGTGATTTGTGGTGACTTTGGTAGTGCACAAACACAAAGCACCCCTATGAGCTGCCTTTTGAAGAGGGAAAAAGCTGTCTATCAAGCAGTGTATGTAGCTCATTAGTTACCTAACTGGACTCTCTGTTCTTTGCAAGAGAAACTTCCTCTGGGGTTGGGAATGGGGGTGGGGGACCCTCAAGGGATGGGAGGAGGGGTGAGCAGTTTGCAAGTCTGAGAAATACAAATCTTTGAGGTGACTAAATTAAAAACATGCTATGAAGCTATAAACTCACTCCTGAATCTGTGGCCTCAGGTCAAAATCCCTGCAGGAGAGCTGTTTCCTCAATGCCTGTGCTTGTTAACATTTTCTGTAAGGAGCAGCCCAGAGCTAAGTCAGCTCTGAGCAGGACTCTACAAGGCCACATCAAAAATGACAACAGGCGGGCCAGTGTGATGAGGCATCGGTGGGAGGTTCACCCCGGGTGAGGATTCTGTCATGGCACACTCCGGGAAAATAGCAAGGACAAATGTAAATGTTCTGTTTCATTGAAAATCACTTTGGAGTATACAAAGCCTATTCTTTTTTACTTGAAAAGCTACCAATTTCTGCATTTATATGTGTCAGAGATGGAGATTTTGATGGACCACAGAACAACCTAGTAACAATTCCTATGCATGTGTTCTCCACACAGTTTAGATGGTACAATTTGGCATTACTCCATCTCCTTCTCTCCTGATAACACCTCACCTTTCTTCATTTCTCTTGTAACTGTTTCATAGCTATGGAAGAAGGAGAGAAAAACTGCCATGATTACTCCGTGTTAATTGAAAGTGGTTTTAAACCAATCAAAGGTAAAAGATATAGCTCATTTCTGTTGTTTCCCTAACTTATTTTAAAAAATATACAGGGGTTTCAACTTGTGGCAGTTTTATACCCCAGAGGACATTGGCAATATCTGGACACATTTTTGGTTGTTGAAAATTTTGGTTTGGTTGAAAACTAGATGTTAATGACATCTAGTGAGTAGAGGTCGGGAGTGCTTCTGAGTATCTAATAATATCCAGGACAGATCCCTACAACAAAGAATTATCTGATCAAAATGTCAGTAGTGGCAGGGACTAAGAAATCCTGGCATAATATAATGTCAGGAGTACCATATGTCATAATCAATGCTTATCATTTATTGAACTATTACTATGTCAAGTAAACATTCTATCTACTTAAGGAAACTCAATAATCCTGAGAGTCAAAAGATTATGCCTCAAACTTTCTGGGCCTTTTGAAGATAATTATTTTATAGATTTTGAATATGAAATTAGTTGAGAACAATTTCCAACATAGTTGTACTCAGACATAACCTGTTAAGAATACTTCGTCCAAAACAGAAAATTTGTTTAATTATAATAAGGTTATGAATAATACATAAAGCCCTACAATATCAACCACAATATACAAACAAAGTAATCACAGTAGATCATGAATGAATGAGTTATTCTATGTAAACCAGATCTGGCAGTTTTAATTATAATGTCAGCAGTCACATTTAAACCTGTTTATATCATTATTAACATTGTTAAACTTAAAAGTCTCAAAGCTTCAAAGACACCTAGACTATTACAATTTCAGGAGCTTAATTCAAACCCAAGAAAATAAATACTACCTTAAAAATATAAGTGAATATTATATTAGTTTATTTTTGTTATTTTCTATTTTCTTTTTAATTATCTGCCTGCATTTTCATATTACAAGATTAAGTATAGAAAAGCAAAAGGCTTGAATTGAAAATTATTTACAAAAATACATATCCTAAATCATTTTGACTTGAGGTTCCTACGCTGTTTTCTTGAGCTAAATTGAGGGTCTTGATCCTATAAAATATAAAACTCAGCTATATGGCTGGATTTATTATAAATTATATAAGTGCCCTGTTGTTGCTACTGCTTAGGTGGTCACCACTGGTTACATGATATAGTGTTCAAAATATGTGCTTTATGTGAGTCATCATGCTTTTGGCATTTTCTTACCTTTATGTATTTTTATTTTCTTCTATACTTGGAAGTGATAAAAATAAATGGGGTACTTTTTTTTTTGACAAATTTAGCAAGGTCCCAAATAACAGCGTCTGTTACACTATGTAAATAAAGTCTTTGTGCCAATGGGAGATTTACCTGGCAACTTTCAGATTTCTACAGGTAAAAGCACATTACTTAATAGGATATTTTGAAATCCTCAAATCTGTCACATCAACACAAGTCATGTTGTGTAAAATACATGACAACATTTGCCTTGAAAACCAAAGAGCTATTTTTTAATATTATTTTTACAAACAAACTTTGTTTTTAAAGCCCTTTAGGATGCATTGTTTCATTCGGTAAATGAAGGAACAGCCGATGAGCTATGACAATTGGCTGCCTCTACTTGCCATTGGGTCAAAATTGTGACCATCTTTACTCCAAGTGCTCTTACCCTCCATTAAGAGGCATAGGCTACTCTAATTCAGTCAGATTAAATGAAAAAACTAAATTATAAATTTTTTTAGATACTTCCTAGAAATGGGACCCTAGAAGTGTGATTCAACTTCTAGATCTCATGATAATTAGCCAATAGCCACGTGCTTCAGGGGAAAATAAACAATGGGCTTCAGTGGCGTCCTATGTAAAATGACGCTGGATGAATATGGCAACTTAATTCATTAAGTGTATTCCTCAGAAAATCTTATGTTTTTAAAATGAGTTTTTGGAATAGCTGTTTTAAATGTGATGAAATTATTGGCATTCTTGCTGTTATTATGTATCAAAGTACATTGATATCTAACAGATAATCTCCATAATTAAACCATTATAATGGTTAAATACCTTTTTAAAAAAACACTGCTACTATTTAAAATTTTAGGGCTTCTGTCATATACCTCAAAGATCAAGGAAATATATGCGCCAAGTAAACATTATTTGTGTTCATTTCTAAAAAGAAAAATTGCATTGATTTATTTACTAATAAAATGTAAGCAACTAATTCATTAGTCTGTAGTATTTACATTTGAGCTGCTAAGATAACTTAATTAATTGTGAATAATAAGAGAATTTTTATCTTTTCTGTTTTTGAACAAGAATCCAATGATTACTATTTTATATTATTAGTAATTTATTAATAATGAATTAGCAGGTATTACCAAACACAGCACTGCTTCTTGAGAATCACTATATGTTATTGTATCATAAAGACAGAACCAAAAACCAATGTCCAAATAAAACCAAAAACAAAAGCCAAAACCATCAAACAAATAAACAAAACTGAGGCAACTTCAGGGGCTTTGAGTCTGGTTGGAAAGGACTTCTATTGCAACAAATGCTGATATTTGTTAAATCATTAAGATTATTTTATTTACAGAAGAACATAAAAAATAAGAATCTGTGTGTAATGCATGGTTTGTTGAGGTCTTGTCTTTTGATCCCATGGTGCCTGTAGCTTGTCTTTTGATCCCATGGTGCCTGTAGCTCTCCCTTACCACCTGTGTGCCCAAGAGGAATTGTCAGCTAGCTTGAATTGGCCTCACTCTACCTCTTACACACATCACATCCAGACACTGCTCTTGCTCCAGAGGATTCAACTACCATCTTTGTCCATGTGGAATTCCAAGTGGCAGACAATGAATAGGCCAAAGCACCTCATCCGCTGGATTCGAAAAAATAATGTGGTAGGTGAAATCTCCATTCTTGTTATACTGTTCTTTTAGCTTCTATAGCACATTCATTTTGTGAAAGTCAAGGGGACTCTCACAGGAAATTCGGATGAAGGAAAGATAAAAGCTAAAGTTCTAGCCAACTTCAACAACCCCATAGGCCTCATAGAGTAAATCTTTTAAAAGCTAGCTCCTCCAGAACAGGAGTGGAGTGGGGCCCATAAAAAGCCAGCCCAGGTCATCTGCCTCCAATGCACATCTGCACACTCCCAAATCTGTCTATCCCTTGCCAGTCTCATGCTTCCATCCTTTACTGAAGGTAAAAGCTTCAGTAAAACTCTACGCCTTCACAAAGTAAGAGAGATCATTCCCAGGATCCTTCAGAATTCCAGCAGGCTTGAGGATGTCCTTTATATCCCCTTTCATATTAGAGGTTTGCATACATTACAAAACATTTAAATTAACCTTTACTGACTGCTTTTTCTGTATATCCCCATACCTGAACCCACTTGGGGTTACACTTAATGAATGTTATTATTTTAATTTAGAAACTTTTAGAAATAAGGAGGTTTGGACAAAGGGTTGTCATTTCCTTCTGCCACATGCCCTAACATATTTATAATAATAAAATGAACAAGTTACATATAAATAACGATTTATGCATGTTTGCTGAAATATTTCAGTATGTCAGAGCAAAATAATATTCATATTGTACTTTCATATTTTATAATTTAAGCTCCTAAATTCTTAAAATTTGCCAATTTCAAAAACATTCTGTTTTCAAAAGATGGTACCTAACATTGTAATGATTATGCTATTTTCTTTTTAGCTGTCAGTATTTAATTGTGTGAAATAAATTATGTGGAAGAAAAGCAGATGTACTGGTGAACTATTTTCTGACAGGTTTTTTTAGTTAAATGTCAAGAATTTAGGTCATTTGGGTAACTGAAGTTTTCTATTACTTGGCAGGAATTTGAAGAAAATTCTAAGAATTGTAGTAGCTATTTTTGGAAAGTGTCTACTTTCATATGAAAATCCTGTCTTTAGAACATGCATAAATTCAGTGACACTCTTCCACACTTTCTTGCTCCCTTGCTATTTCTTTTTTTCGTTTCATAGCAGGAGCCTAAAGCTTTTATGATTTAGCTGGTCTTCTTCATCGAAAGGAATACAGAAAGATCTTACTTTTGCAAATTTTATAAAAACAAAACCACCTAAATATCTTCTAGGACTTTGAAAAGGGCTCATATAAGCCAGAGACCTTGAAATACTTCAATAGCTTCCAGGTAACTTTACCTCTGTTTCATTTCTGAGCTCTTGAACAGTGGAATCCAGTATCTGCCTTTATTTCTTCAACATGAGATCATGTTCTTGGACAGGACCCTTACATAGCTGCACACATTTACTGAGAGAGAACCAAAGAAAGGGATTCTGATTTAAAGTGTCTAGATTGTAGGGTTGACTCTCCCTTCTGCTTGTCCTTCACCAGAACAATTTACCTCTGGCCGAGTGATCTATTTAGTTTGTTGGGAATAGACATAAAGGAGTCTGGCCAGGCAGGAGCTTCTTTATTTTGCAATGTGTTCTTGAGTCTCAGATGGTTCAGTTCGGATTCAACCTTGATATGTGTTATGAAAATACAATTAAAACCAAAATCATCTCCTAACCCAGAAATTCTCTCCACAAAGGTACTAGAGCTAAGCATTAGAAGACAAGCATTAAGCCAGACTATGTTGCACTTCACAAGCAATCTGCTAAGAGAGTACCAAGGCGGAAAGGACTCTCGCCCCCATATGTATAGCCAAGGAGATGTAACCCATTGCATGCACGTTTTCAATAAAAACAATAACTAGTCTTCAAGTAAGAAGACTTAACACTCACACATAATTTGTCATAACTTTCCCATGGTGATTAAGGTCAACATTTCCGTTAGCTGATTGACTTTATCCAGGGGAGAAACAAACTTATCATGTCTCTGTGACAAGAGGTAGTTTTACAACTTGGAGCAACATGCCCATGGAGGAAGTTAGAATTCTACCCTCCCACAGAAACTGAGAGATAGGGATGCTATGTGTACATATCAAAAAATGGCTCCTAGGTTCTTGAGAAGGACAGCCCTTGGTCATGAAGCTGATAAAAGGCCCCCGCACACATCTTAAAGAGAAAAGAAAGTGCTTACAGTTACAATTTTTCTGAGGCGAATGCACTAAGAAGGAAAATCTTTTCCTATATTTTCAACAGGGAGAATTAAGTCTCTTAATGATAATTTGTATTGCCGTCATAGTGTCATAGAGGAAAGACCTAGGTCAATGAGAGGATTTTGTCTCAAATGTTTCATTAATCATCTTTGTGCAATGACTTACTTGTCCTATTAAATCTTGCCTTATCTAGATATGATGTTGTTTCTTTTAGATTTTCTTTTTCTTTTTTTTTTTTTTTAATTATACTTTAAGTTTTAGGGTACATGTGCACATTGTGCAGGTTAGTTACATATGTATACATGTGCCATGCTGGTGCACTGCACCCACTAATCCGTCATCTAGCATTAGGTATATCTCCCGATGCCATCCCTCCCCCCTCCCTCCACCCCACAACAGTCCCCAGAGTGTGATATTCCCGTTCCTGTGTCCATGTGATCTCATTTTCCAGATAGTTTTTGATGATAAAACCTAAGTGAATCTGTTCTTTTTTTTTTTTTTCTATTCATGATCTTTCTTGATTGATTTTATCCTGTGCCCAAACCAAAACAGCACAGCACCATGGCTATGAGAAAGAGGTCTCAGAAAACTGAGTGTCGTTATCTGGCTTTTAAAGTTTGCCCTATCTAGATATGATGCTGTTTCTTTTAGATTTTTTTACACCAACTTTTGTCAGATAGTTTTTGATGATAAAACCTAAATTAATCTGTCCTTTTTTTTCTATTCATGATCTTTCTTGATTGATTTTTATCCTGTGCCCAAACCAAAACAGCACTGTAACTATGAGAAAGAGGACTCAGGAAACTCAGTCAATATCTGGCTAACAAAAGTCTATGCGTGGTTCCTCCTAGCCCTGCTATGACTTTTCCCAAATGTCAAATGTTGTTGATGTCTCGTCTCACAGATTTCCCTGTCTACTTGAGAAAGGCATAAAACCCATTTTATCTTAAAAATGCTCGTAATTGGGATCGCACTTTAAGTATAATGCTTACTTGATTACTAAATTTATTGTCTTTTTCTTAAACTATGTTTTTTAACCTCTCTGCAACATTTAACATCATTAATCATCATTTCTTCTTTGAAACTCAGCTGTTATAGTGGAGAAAAACCTTGGAAATAGTTAGTTCATGTTTCTTGTTTTACAGATGAAGAAACAGTGATCTCGGAATCTGGAAGGACTTGTCTAAGGCTCCACAATTAGGAAGTCTCTAGACATAACTCTCTTGGTTCTCCTGTTCCTTCTCTATTTCCTCCAGAAGCTGCTCTGTACTTGACAAGAAGTAGATATTAGTCAAGATTCATTTCTTTTACTTTTGCTTTCTTTTTTGTTTTTTTTTTTTTTTTTTTTTTTTTTTGGTGGGGGGATATCATCTACTTCCTGGCTTATATGATCAACTTTATATGAATAGGAAAGACCGTGGACTTAGTTGTCAGACAGTCCTGGATTAGAATATTTGATCATTCACTTTGTATAACTTATAAACATGTCACACTGATCTTAGATAAGTTAATGGTCATTTATTTTATTTTATTATTTTTATTTTTTTCAAAATGGAGTTTTGCTCCTTTTGCCTAGGCTAGAGTGCAATGGTATGATCTTGGCTCACTGCAACCTCTGTTTCCTGGGTTCAAGTGATTCTCCCACCTCAGCCTCCCAAGTACCTGGGATTACAGACACGCCCCACTATGCTCAACTAATTTTGTATTTTCAGTAGAGACGGGGTTTCACCATGTCGGCCAAGCTGGTCTCAAACTCCTGACCTCAGGTGATCTGCCCGCCTTGGCCTCCCTAAGTTCTGGGATTACAGGTGTGAGCCACTGAGACTGGCCAGTTAATGGTCATTTAAATGATCTGTGAACCCAAATGGCTTCAGAGATGAAGGAGTTAAGATTGTAACATATGAAAATATTGAACATTAAAAATCAATGACCGAAGCTTTCAATTCAAGAAACTAAAAATAGAATAGCAAATCAAACCAAGATAATGTACAAGAAAGGAAATAAGATTGATAGGAATAAAAAATCAATGAAATATAAATTAAATTTATAAGAGAAAATTAAGAAAACATAGAACCCTGTTATTGGAAGAAATCAATAAATCTCTGGGAAAACAAACGAACAAAAAAAGATGGAATATATAAAATGCCAATACCAGGACTTGAAAGGTGGTATTGTTACTCATCTTGTAAACTTTGAAGAGTTAGTAAAATTATATTAAGAGTAACATTGTGTCAATAAAGTTGTTAATTCGTATTAAATTAATAACTTTTTTGAAAACATGGCTTATCAAAACTACCTCAAGAAGACTTAGAAAGTTTAAAAGTTTTTTTACTTACAAATTGATTTTTTTTTAAAATCAAAAACCTTTGCTCTTCTTCCCCCTCAAAAATCCTCCAGGCCCAAATGCTTTTTGTAATTTTGGGGTTTAGAACATCATACCCCAAAGTATCGTGCCTTGCCATGCTGACTGTCTTTGAGCTCAAGAAAACAAAAGGCCTCAGAAGTGAGGTCTCTCTGACCTTCTTCCATCCTTCTGCCTCCTGCCCCAATTTCTCCCCCAAAGCAAGCCATAAAACCTAGAAAGAACAGTCTATGACCTACTTTTCCTGAAAGTAGGTCATAAGACCCTCCTGTGACAGATGCCCTGCACTGTGCCAAGAAGAAAGAAATGTTGCACAGATAGGCCAAGAAGCCTGAACACACAGGCCTTGCTCAGTTTATTCCCGTTAGAGCATATGTTTTTGTCCAATCATATTTCTATAAAATTACCGGCTTCTTTTATTAGATTTAGCAAAGAAACAGATGGTCTTCCCTGGGTCTTTAGGTTTTCATTTCTGAAGGATCCCATGTCACATAAAACCTTCATTATATATAAATTTCACCTGTGAATCTTGAAATGGGTGAGAAAAACATACAACTTTTTTCTCCTCTACTGTAAGAAGTAACATTCACTTGTATAAACTGTTCTTGGGAACTCAGAAAAGGAAACACTTCCGTTTTATTTTAAGAGGTTAGCATAATCTTTTTTTCTTCTTTTTTTTTTTTTTTTTTTTTTGTGACAGAGTCTTGCTCTGTCACCCAGGCTGGAGTGCAGTGGTGCGATCTCAGCTCACTGGAACCTCTGCCACCCGGGTTCAAGCAATTCTCCTGCCTCAGCCTCCTGAGTAGCTGGGATTATAAGCGTAAGCCACCAGGTTCAGCCAATTTTTGTATTTTTGGTAGAGACAGGGTTTCACCGTGTTGGCCAGACTGGTCTCAAGCTCCTGACCTCAAATGATCCACCTGTCTTGGCCTCCCAAAGTGCTGGGATTACAGGTGTGAGCCACTGTGCCTGGCCTAGCAGGATCTTGTTATCAAAAATTTACTGTTAGCAAATTACAGAAAAAATGCAAAAATACTAAGTAAAATATGAGTACATAAAACTAGTGAAATGTAAAAAGAATAATAGACCTACCTAGTACCATATATTGTGACCAAGTGGACTTTATTCCAAGAATGAAAGGGAAAGTTTACTATTCAAAAACAATCAATGCAATTTTACCACGTAATTTAAAAAAAGAGACAGATAATGAGAGAGAGAAATCCTATAATCATCTCCTCAGGTGCAGGAAAATATAAACACATTTATGATTCAAAAAAAGAAAAACACCTTAGAGAGTTGGGAAGAGAAAGGTAGTTTCTTAATCTGACAAAGAGCTTCTGTAAAAACCTACAGAAGATCCTATAGTAAATGTGATATTATTGAAAGCTTTTTGTCTGTATTTGGGACTGAGAAGTCCAGTGTCATCACTGCTTCCCAACAAGATACTGAAGGCCCATCCTAGTAGACTAATGCAAGAAAAAGAAATAAAAGGCATAAGGCAAAGAATGGCAGAAATATGGCCATGTACATAGAAAATCCAAATTAATCTGCAAATTACTGATATTTGTAAGTGATTTTAGCAGCATTGAATTACAATAGCATGTGGTCATTAAACAAAAATCAATTACGTTTCTTTTTTCCTTTTCTTCTTCTTCTTCTTTTTTTTTTGTTTGTTTATTTGTTTGTTTGTTTGAGATAGAGTTTTGCTCTTGTTGCCCAGGCTGGAGTACAATGCCTGATTTTGGCTCACTGCAACCTCTGCCTCCTGGATTCAAGTGATTCCCCTATCTCAGCCTCCCAAGTAGCTGGGATTACAGGTGTGTTCCACCATACCCAGCTAATTTTGTATTTTTAGTAGAGACATGGTTTCACCATGTTCGTCAGGCTGGTCTCGAACTCCTGATCTCAAGTGATCCACTTGCCTCAGCCTCCCAGAGTGCTCAGATTACAGGTGTGAGCCACCACAACTGGCCTACATTTCTTTATATCAGGAACAAACAAATTGGAAATGAAAGTAAAAATAGAATGCAATTTATAATAGTATCCAAAAACAGAACTATTGGCTGGGCACAGTTCACTTGAACTTGAGAGGCAGAGGTGGCAGTAAGCTAAGATTGTTTCACTGCACTACAGCCTGAGTGACAGAGTGAGACTCTGTCTCAAAAAAACAAAAACAAAGACAAAAAAACAAAAACAACATCAACTATTTAAGAATACATCTAATAAAAGTATGTAACACATCTACAATTAAAGCAATAAAACTTTCCCAAGAAAAATGAAAGAATACCTGAATAAATGGAAGTGTATACCATATTAATAGTTTGAAAGACAAGTAATATAAATAAATTATCTCTAAATTGCTGTATCTAATACAATCTCAATAAAAATCTCAGGAGATATTTTGAGAACATTGCCAAGCTGTTTCCAAAATGTATAAAGAAATGCAAAGGACCAAGATTAGCCAAGATGATGTTGAGGAGCCATGCTGGGGGGCTTACATTTTTATATATCAATATATAAAAGCAAGAAAGAGAGAGTAAAATCCTATAATAATCAGTAATTATGAGTATTAATAAAGGTAAAGTAATTTTGAGTGTTGGTGTAAAAATAGATAAACTAAAGAGCTGAATAGAATCCAGAAACAAACCTAAACATAAATTGTTTTACAATTTATGACAAAGATACCACTACAGTTCACCAGAGGAAGGGGTGTTTTTTTTTGTTGTTGTTGTTGTTTTTTCTTCAGTAAATGGTGCTGGGTCAGCTGGATAAACTATGTGGAAATACATATCCCGACCCATACCTCAACATCACGGACAGATATCAATTCCAGATGGATTGTATATCTGAATATGAATGCTCAAATAATAAATGTTCAAAAAGAAATCATAGCAGAATATCTTCGTGAACTTCAGATGGCCAACAATTTTCTGTACAGGGTACAAAAATTACTCTTCTTAGAAGGAAAAATCTTAAAAAGGCAAATTAGACCACATTAAAATTGAGAACTTTTGATCATGAAAAACCATATTAGAGGTGAAAAGTCATGCCCACATGTGGGAGAAAATAATTTGCAAGTCTGACAAAGTCTTGTATTTAGAATATATAAAGAATTTCTACAAATCAATTAGGAAAGGAGGGAAAACTCAAAAGAAAAGAAAATGGACAAAGGACTTTGACAGGCACTTCACAAAATAGGATATCCAAATGGCCAATGGACTTGTGAAAAGTATTCAACTTCATTCATAATCAGTGAAATACAGATTAAAACTATGATGTGATACTATTACACCACATTGGAATAACAATAGATAAGGCAAGGTAGAGAGAAGAAAGTGGTGGTAAGAAAGTGGAGCAGTTGGAATGATCATACACTACTGGTGGAAGTGCAAATTGGTACAATCACTTTGGAAATATTTTTGGCATTATCTAACTAAAGCTGAATATATGCATACCATATGACCCAGCAATTCTATTCTTAGGTGAATTCTTATGAGAAATGGTATATACATTCACCAAAAGATATTCATCAGCAGAATATTCACAGCAGCACTATTTGCAACTTAAATTAGAAAGAAGGCAGATGTATAGCAAAATCAAATGAATAAATAAAATTGATATATGTTCATGAATAGAATCTATACAACAACGAGAATGAACAAGCTTCAAATATGCAGTGCAACATGAATGAATCTCACAAACAAAATGATGTGGAACAGAAGCCACACACAAGAAAGAAATTGTGTATCACTTATGTAAAGCTCGAAAACAAGCAAAAATGGCTGGGTGTGGTGGTTGGCCGGGTGTGGTTGTTGGAGGCCGAGGCAGGGGGATCTCCTGAGGTCAGTAGTTCAAGACCAGCCTGGCCAACATGGCGAAACCCTGTCTCTACTAAAAATACAAAAAATTAGCTAGGCATGGTGGTGAACACCTGCATTCCCAGCTACTCCAGAGACTGAGGCAGGCAGGAGAATTGCTTGAACCCAGGGAACAGAGGTTGCAGTGAGCCGAGATTGTGCCACTTCACTCCAGCTTGGGCGAAAGAGCGACACTCCATCTCAAAACAAAACAAAACAAAACAAAAAAAACACAAAAATAACCTATGGTGTAAGGAATCAAGATAGTGGGGTGATGTTTGGTGGTGGGAGTCATTTGGAAGGAACACAAGCGGGGCTTTGAAGTGTTAATAATGTTCTATTTCTTGATTTGGGTATTTCTTGATGTAAAAATTAACTTTGTGTTAACTTTATAAAAATAATCTTTTTTTCTTTGCATTTTTCCATATGTGTATTACATATTAATTACATCTTTAACAAAAAACATATTGGTGACTAGTTGGGTGCCTTGTTTAAAGGAACATACATTATTCAACATCAGCATATTATTGTCATGCTAAGAATGTGGACTCTGGTGTTGTACAATATCCTTGTTTTTAAAGGGAAGTTTATATAAATTTTTATGTAAATTCTTCTTGTTTTTGAATACTGCTAATTCAGATTAAAAGAGCCACAGCAATAATGTGAGTCAAAAAGAAAAAAAAAACAGCCATAAGTTTGCAATCATTGTTTTGAAATCCCTCTACCTGCTCTATAATGGAGATAACACACTACTTAGTATTGATTCTCACATTTAAATAAAGTAATGTATGTAGGAGTTTTATGAAAACAGCAACCAATAAATAAGGGTTATTAATATGGTATCATCATTTTTCTATTGTTGTTTGGAATCATGCTCTCTCCAAATTTATCTTAATTATTCTTAATTTTGATGTACATTTTTACTGGATCATTATTATACCGTCACTATAATAACATCACATTGAACTAATAAAGGGTAAACGTTTAATGCAAATTTGTGGGTTAAATAAATGTGGATCAGTTGATTAATAATACCCTATATTTTACACTTTCGAGTTTCAGTGTATTTGACATGTTATTCCAATAGCATATACCACAACATGGAACATTGTATTAGTGTTAAGATTCTGGAAATTGTGGAAAATATAGATGCTAACTATAAATGATTTAGATTGGCCATAAATGATTTGCAGACAGTTGGAGTTTAAAAAGTGTCTTATTAAAATATGTGCCAAATATGTTTCCTATTCCATTCTCAATAGATAAGAATAGGTTCACAATATCCCTTCTGCCATTTGTGAACTCCAGCCTTCTTCACATTTCTCTCAAGTAGTTTTGAGTATCACCTATGAGGTGGGAGGAGATAGTTTCACGTATGCTACCTTTGACTCATCCTCATGCCACCCCTCACCATCCTTGGTCTTTCTTTTTTACAGCTCTGATGGCATCTCTCATTCCAAAACTTGCTGAAGGTGCCAATACTACTCCCACTTGCCCCTGCTGCTGAAATCTGATATGCACAGCAAGGTAGCTGAGGTGCACTGTTGAGGACATTAATGTCTACATTAAGGACCATACATCTTTTGACAGAATTATCTACACCATATCCTGTTGTTGCAGAAGCTACCTGCAGCAGTGCTCTGATACCTTGTACCAAAACACTTCTAGATTTCGGTTGCATGTTTAATTGTAATCCTCTTACCAGTTACAGAAGCTAGATCTGAGATATTATGCAGAGAGGCAAAAACTGGCTGCAGAGAGAAGGAAAGATACAGGAGTACCAGAAACAGAGAGGGATGGAAAACCTCATAAGCTGCTAGGAGGAGAAACAATTTCAAATGGAGACGGAAGTCATACCTTAATGTGCTGATTTCAACCAGGCTACTTATGTAACTGATGCAAATGACCACGGAGGAGGGATCCTTGAGTTTTTTCGGGTACTGATATAGAAGAAGACACCTTACAGTGTCAAAGGAAGTTGATGGATTCACCTTGGCTGGTAAACAGCTCCAGAACCTGGCTGTGCTGTTATTGTCTTTGTGCATTATATGCCTTCATTCAGGGGAAATGGGCCCTTACACTAAGATAATGTTTTCCATATTTAAATATTGGCATATATGAACCTTAGAGATTCTGAAGTTTAAATCATTTGTTTTGGCAATTACAAAACTGAGACTTGCTAACTTGATTAGAAAGTCAAGCAATTTGTAGAACACCACTCAGCTAATTAATAGCAGTAAAAAGACTAGATCCTAGATCTTTGATTTTTAGTTCTACCATTCACTATATCACTACTAGTGAATTTTTCTGATGCTTTCTTGAGAGTATGGTCTTTATAGTATGTCAACAATTGTAAACTTGCAGCTAAAATAGCTGATCATATCCGTCTACAGGGAGGCACTACACATTTGCGTGAATACTTCCTCTTCTATTTGAAAAGTGTAGATTTACTTACATTCTTTTAAATATATCAGCACAGACTATCAGGCCGAGGATCACTGTCTTCCAACACAGTAAACATGGACCTGGTTCTTGTGCTCCAGAGAAACAAATGAAAGAGCAGGCCTCAAGGAATTTTGTTCATTGGGATCAGTGGGATCACAAGTATAGATCTAAAGAATGGAGTTCCTTCAGAGCTCACTTCAGGTGGCCAAGATGAAAATATGTACTTTCCTTCATAATATACTTAAGAAGATAAGGTCAGTTTTGTCATTGATCTGGTCCTATTCACCTTGTTTTTCTCTCTTAAATTATTTCTTTACCATTGTGGAGATAATCAACCGCATGGTGTCATCACTCATTTATCTCTAAGCATAACAGACATTTTCAACCCATTTCAGGTGTCCTCAAATTATTCATTTTTTATTTAAATGAAGAATTGTCCAGAGTTAGCATGTAAATATTAGCTAAGGGCAGGATGTGTGTGTGTCATGGAGGGGAGGACCTCTCCTGTTTAGGAGGAACTGCTGGCCCTAATATGCATGTCACATACATATGAACCTTGATCGGCTGTCATGCGGAAGGAATTACACTTCCGCTGGCCTCCCCTACCACAACCACAGGTGGAATCTAAGCTAGGCACTGAACTTGGCTCACACAGCTGTGAGCTTGCGCTGAGTCTCATCCTTTGCTGTGGAACTCCCTCTGCTGCTTCCTGCCCCAGCAAACTCCCCTCTACCCAGCCACTGGAAAGGAGTCCCACAGGAGGGGAGGGACAGTAGAGTAGAGCCCAGCTTCTCTGTCCAACACATAAAAGCTCTGAAAGGCAGTTATAAAAGGCTGAACTGGGAGCAGGTATTGTTAAAAAGGGAACCACTGACTTCCTGTGAGCACATGTTCCTGTCTCACTCTTGCTCTGCAGCACAGTAGAGGCTGTTTAGTTCATCACAAAGGAAGTGCATCAGCACTCCTGAAGATGCTACTCTAAGGGCACCTTTGAGTTGTGGGCCAGGAAGGCATTCCATAGTAAGACGAAGGAAAGGCCAAGTTCCTATTGTTAGCGTCACTATGCTTCTGGTTTTATAGTTTCCTAAGTTATTGCCACAGGTCATGGATCTGTGGCGCTCAAATGTTCGCTCACAAGGTTCACAGCACATTCTTTGCAGTTGCACCACCCAGCTAGGAGGGGCGAAACCAATGGAGCATTTTAGGCAGAGCTCATTTCCGCCCACATCAAAAGTAAGAGAGAAGTTTGTGGAGAGCTACATTTGAGCCCTCCATTAGCTGTTTTACATCTTGTAGGCCAAGGTGACACTTTCTACACTATGTGCTGGTGAGATACCACATGGACAAAATGTTGTAGAGGACCCAGCCTGAAAAATGCTCAGGCTTTAAGTCTGAGCAATCTCCACCACATCTCTACTCCACATCCCACCCCTCCTGGAATTTTAAGTCAGGAGACACATTGTGAGTGCATGGACAAAATAAAGAAAAGAAAGAGAGAGAGAAGAGGGAGGGAGGGGGAGAGAGAGAAAAAGTATATCAATTAAAAGTTTGCTGAAAGAGTCATGACATAAAGAAGATGAAAGAAAAAAACAAATTAGATTGTTACCAAGCTGTACATTCTTTGTTGAGGGAGAATAGAGATGAATTGGTAGCAGAGAGGAAGAAAAAGGAAGCATTTTAAGATGCAAAACAGGAGAAATCAGACTTAAGCAAGAATGGAGAAATAACTACATTTATCCACATCAGCTGTATCTTACCAGTTTGACTACTCTAAATGCTTGGGGATAATCTGGGAGTTTTTCACTGCTCCCCTCCTGCTGACAGTCCCAAACATATTGATGAGGCATTTTTAATAGCTTTCACCTCTGGCTCCTACTACAGCTTCATGTCTTTTTCCTTGGTTCTTATCCTCATCGTGGTGTCATGATTATTGTCCTCTCAGTCAAGCCCATCCTGTGCTACTGACTGAATGATTTTTATTAAAAATAAATTTTCCCCTATGCCTCTCCTGCTTACAATGCCTTATGATCCTTGATTGCTCACAGATTGAAATCCAAATCTTTGAGGATCCCATTCAAGATCTTTCAGTGCCTGAGTATAGCTCGTCTCTCCAAATTCTTCTTCTGCATATTATGTGCCTGCTAAAGAAAGTACTTACAGTTGTTCAAATGAGATGTTTCTTTTGGAAACCTCCCTGCATTCCTACCTGCTAACCCCCTATTTGGAAGTTAATTGTTGTCTTCCCCCACTCAGCTCACAGGTGTCCCCTGTGCACCTTCTACTGCCCACTCAAGCATAGTTGATCACTTCCTCCTTTAGGTCTCAATGCCATGACAATTTAATCACACTCCATTTTCATTATTTTTTATAAGTCTGTTTCACTACTTGGTACTGAGCTTCTGCTTGTAGAATGTGCACTTTGTTCTTACTTATTTTTGTGTTCTTGGGTCCTATTGCCAGTGCCTTGAATATACTAGATATAAGTCTAAAAATATTTGTTAAAGAATAAGTAAATGAATATTTCAGTGGAAGAAACTCTTTTCCCATGTGGGGACTTTGCACTTTCTGTCACAAAATTTGACTTAATCTAACTTAGGCAAAGATGTAATTTATTGGCTAAGAGAAAACGTTTAGGGATATAACTAGATTAGACATACTAGATTGAGTATGCAAACAATATCATATTTCTCTACATCCCTTAGTTCCCATTCCCATGGTTGAATTTAAGCTGCTTTGGCTTTAGACTTAGACTTTCTATGGTAGCAAGGGAAGACTCAAACCCCAGCCTTTCCAATTTTCAGTCCAGCAAACACACATGTACACACACACACACACACACACACACACACACACACACACCCAACAACAAAAAACAGAAGTGAGAATCTCTTTCTGCAAAATGCCACTTAAAATTGCCCAGACTACAATGACTACAATTGGGGTATATGTCCATTGTAGAACCAATTTTTCTGGTCAGGTAAATGCTGTATCCTTATGGGCTTAGACCTGTGCCCCACCTCTATAAACAACTTTTCTGGAATTACAGGGAATGAGAGTGGCAGAGGAGGATGTATTCAAAGGGTTACCAGAAGAGAGAGGAATTGCAGTTGAAATGGCACAAATGAATAGGTCAGTTATAGAGTAGATTACTCTTTATTCCTTTAAATCTAGATTTGAGACATTGAGAGCTTCATTTATTACCTAATTTCTAATGGCAAACTCAGAAAATTCATCTCCTATTTGGTTTTACTATGACTTACACCTTTCAATATGATTTGTAACAAAACTTTGCTGATTTTGATAATGGCATGTATCAATGACACCAAGAAAATCAATTACTAACCAAAATTATTTTATATATTACATGTATATTTATAAAGGCTGAGAGGTAATACTAGTGATGTGGTCACAGAGTTAAAACTAAATGTAGCTTTTCATTGTTGTGTTTGCTTTAAGAGTTGTTTCAGTTATCTACTGTTGCTCAATAAACGACTCCCAAAATTAGGGCTTAAAATAATTTATTATTATTATATCTGATGATTCTTGGGGCTAAGAATTTAGATAGTACCCAGTGCAGATGACTCATCTTGTTCTGATGCTCGGGACCTCAGCTGAGATGACATAAATGTCCATAGGCTGGAACAATTGAGGGCTGGCTGAGTATCTCTTTTCTCTCGTTTTCTCTCTCATTTTCTGCCAAAACCCATCTGCAGCCTGTGGTTGTGCAGACCACAAACAAAAAGGTTTTCAAATTTTTTAATGTTTAAACAAATCTAAAGAAGAAGACTGCTTCTTCATGAGGTGTGAAACATATGAAATTCAAATTTGTGTCTATAAAGATTTATTGGAAGATAGCCACATATGTTTGTTTAAATACCCTATCATCTCTGTAATTGCAGGGTTGAAAAGTTGCAACAAAAACCATATATGATGCAAAACCTAAAATACTTACCATTTGGCCCTTTACAGAAAAATTTGCTGATCTCTACTTTACATGACTTCTCCTTGTGGCTATCTTGGGCTCCCTCACAGCGTGGAAGCCACAGTGTAGTTGGATTTCTTAGTTGAAGGTTCAAGGCTTCAAGAATGAGTATGCAAGAGACAGGACATATAAGCTGCCACTTTTGTTTATAATTGAAACATAATAATTGTACCTGTTTATAAGGTATAGTGTGATTGTATAACAATCAAACCAAGGTGGTTAGCATGTCCACCACCTCAAGCATATCCTTTCCTTATGGAAAGCTGCCATTTTCTCAAGTCTCTTTCTATCGTTCAAGTCTTGTCAAAGAATGTGTGGCCATCCTTAACCTCACACACTTTACCCACAGCAGGAAATTCTGGAGGGCAGAGGGTTTTGTTGAATTGTTTTCCTCCAAGTCAGTGGACCTTTTAACAATTAGGGTTCAATTATCAATATGATAAAATTTATGTCTTTATTTCAAACTTGGGGGAAAAATGCTAGTTTTATCTAATTTACACCTTTAGTTTAAAAATGAGGATCAAATGAGAACTGAAGATTTTAGAATGCTAATAGCTCTTAGTGTCCTAGATTTATTATTCAACTAGATGTTTCCAAACTAGGATAAACTGATGGTTCATCTAGTGAAGAAGTTATTTGTTATTAAATAGCCATCCCCTTGATTTTCTAGTTTATGCCAAATTACACAATATGAAATATTATTAGCTGGTAACTCTTCTTGTGTTCAGGCTGGAGAATGAAGCACCTGTGTGATTATTAGCCAGTGTGCTGACCATAAAGTGGAATGGTCAGCTTCTTTTGACCATTTCCCCAAAACACCATGTGTCTCTCAAAGGAAACAAAGGTCTCAAACCCCTAACAGTTAGTTTAAGCCAACTGCTTACATATGAAAGCAAAGTCCATTGATCCAAAACAAGTGTAACCTGCAGGCATGATGGCAGGGTCCTTCATGTAGGTGATTCTCACGGGCTTGTAACTGGTTATCAAATTGTTAAGTAAGGGGCTGGAAAAGATGGGCTTGTAGTTTTTTGAAACTCATGTTCAAAAATAGCTAAAAATTATAGATTGGAATATTTTGGAAATTGGAGTAGGATATCATTTGAAAAAAGTTAGCATTTTAATTTTTCCCCTTTAGTTGCTATTAAAGTTCAAAAAGACACTATCTTAAATTTTTCTGGTTGAGGCAATGACAGATTGTCCAATCATTAGCTGAGGAAGCTAATGTGAGAGAGAATTTTGTAGGTAGGAAGAGGTAGAGAATTTTCCTTAAATAGGGAAATAAAAAGAGTGGTTAAGTGGTCAGAGAAAAATTAAGTGGCAAGACCAGCAACAGAAATAAGTTCCCCTTGCTTCTTGCTTCAATGTCTAGATCACAGCCTATGTTCTACAAGGGGCTAAGATTTCTTGAGCTCCTTCTACATATAAAACACTGTGCTAGATGCTTGATATGTCATTTAATTTAACTCACTTCTAATGTTGTAAAATACTATCTGCCATCTTATATTTGAGGATATTGTGCCAAGAAAATGTAAATTGTTTGTATAAGGGTCTCAAAACTTAGTGGCAGGAGTTAAATTTTTACTGTTTCTCTAACAAAATCATTCATGTTAGAGATTCCTCTCACAAGAAAAAAGAAATGCACATCTTTTATTTATCTACTTACTCATTTATACCATCACTATCTTCTTTGCTAACAGATATTTATTGGGCATCTTGTTAAAAAAAAAAAGGCACCGTTCCTGGCACAAGTGATTTGATGGACAAGATAAGCAAGGCCCTTGCTCTTATGGAGTTTACTGTTAAGTGGGAAGATGGAAAAAAGGTTAGTAAATAAAGTGAAAAATAAAAATTCACAATTATTGAAAAATGTTATGAAATAAATGGGAGTTGAGATGAGATAGAGAATAGTTGGGGGTGCTCTTTAGAAAGGATGATCAAGGAAAACGTTGCTGAGAAGGTGAGAGTGAAGCAGTGATGTAAAACTGAGAAGGATTCAGTGATGAGAAGTAGTAGGGAAAGATAACTGTTGAAGTAACAGCGTATGTAATGGGATGAAGACAAATGTGGAAAAGTCATGCAGGATCAGGTGTGAGAACCAGGTTAAGGCTAGAACTCGCGGGAATTTATGGGCTCTGATAAGGAGTTTGAATTTTATTTAAATTGCAAATAAAACCTTTGAACAGATTTTATGCAAGGAAATAGCATGGACTTGTTTACATTTTAAGAAACTCTTTTCTGCTGCAGTGTGGGAACGGCTTAGAGGAGCGTGAGAGTGGAAGCAGGGAGACAGGTTAGGAGGCTGCACCAGTCTCCAGAAGAGAAATGGTGCTGCCTGGACATGGAGGTATTGGATATGGGAAGGAGAAGATGAAATTGATAAACATTTTAGAGGACAGAATGGAGAGAACTTGGTTCTGGATTGGGCTTGGATGCTTCAAATGAGAATGGGGAATGAGGACAAAGGAGGATCCAAGATGACATCAAGGTATCTGGCTTGAGTAGCTGTGTCCTCATCAAGGTAGGGGAGTGTGCTGGGGCAGGAAAGCAGGTGAGAAAAGTGAGAAAACCAAGAGTTTAGATTTGGATATGGTTGTCCTTGAAACACCCAAGTGCCTTTTCATTTTAGGCAGTAGAAAATAGGGGCATTGAGGTTGGGGCTAAGGGTAGAAAATATTGTTGGATATTTGAATCCCTAGAAACCTATAGTATTTCAGTTGGTGGGAATCAATAAAATCTTAAGAGAAAATGTGGAGAAAGAAGAGGGCCCCAAATGGTAATTTTTAGAAGTTAGATAGAAGAGATTAGATATCAACTCCCTAAAAATATTTCTTTTTGTATTGCATGTGTTTACACTGTTTATTCTTAGAGATAGGAAGTATGTTTGATTTAGAATGTTATTCGATTCTGTGTCATTTCGGTGGCCATTTGAGTTACATAGAGTTTGATCTATTTGTCAGTGAAAACTCCTCATGGTAGAATATTTAGGGTTCATATTATTGAACGTGGGACTTGGGTTTAAACATAAGTTCTGTTTCTTATAGTATAAATAAGCTATGGGAAGTTTCTTTACTAATTTGGACCCGTTCACTCATCTGCAAAAATGATGATGCTAACAGTACCTCCCTCATCCTGGTGCTATGATTAAGGGAGAAAATTCATGTGAATGCTCAGCACAGTGCCTGAAATGTAGTGAGCACTATACTACCACTAGTAGTAGTTTTTGAGAAAAACACAAGTAATTAAAACTGAAACTCCTCTTTTGGTACTTTAAATGGTAAGTGAGTCCCATAGAATTGTGCAAGCACATGATATTTTTCTATTTTCACTTCAGTTCACTTCTGTGATGTCTTTGTTATATTGTTTACTTTACAAGATTTTTTGTAACATGAAAAATTACTACCTTACACAGTAACAGTCCATAAAAATGAAAGTAACAAGATTATTTGGCAGGAAATAAGGTATCACAAATGCTGCACGTCTATAAAACAAGTAACATTTTAAAAGTAATATCCCTTTGGCACCAACAAAACCCAATGCTTGGCATTCATCTAAGAGAAAACAAAGGAAATGTTAAAGATCTAAGCAAATCCTGAAGGCTCAAACAGACTTATATTTTATCAAAACTTGAACATACATACACATATATTTGTTTATACATCTATCACATATAATATTATATTACAGGTAGTTGTGCTTTTGTCATTTTCCTCCCTGGACTGAACTCCTTGACAACACAGATAAGGTATTACTTATTTTTATTCCCACTGTACTCTACATTATAGTAGAATGATTCAGCACTTTCTTGTTTCTACTATCAAGTTCTCTTGGACAATTTTTTTCTTGTTCAAACTCAAGTTATTTTTGGCAGAAATGCTACTTGTCCCCCAAAACTCATATTTATGCTTCCCTTCCACAGTTTAGAGTTGTGATTGGCTAGTGAATGCCCAAATGGAGAATACATTTCCCATCACCTCCATCCCCTGGTATCTGGGTCTGGACAATGTGAGTAGTTATTGCCAGTGGAATGGGTGGCAAGTTGATGTGTGTCACTTCCAGTCCTAGGCCTTTAAGAATTGTGTGTGCCTTATGCACACATTCCTTCTTCTTCTGCCGCTAAATGCAGACAACAGAAAAGCCAAGAGATTACAGAGTCTCAGAATGAAACATACTATTAATTGAATCCCTATATGGAGAAGATCAGCTGCCGACCTTGGAACGCCACTTTGAACTGTTTCGTGAGGGAAGAAATAAGTTTCTGCTATGTTTGAGTCATTGTAAATTTGAGGATTTAATTGTTCCAGCAGATAACATTAACCCTCGTTAACAGTGTTTAGAGAAATAGGATCTTCCATTAAAATAGAACTATATCTTTGGGAGATAACTTTTGTTGTACATGCACATTTTGTTTCTTCCTGCATGCAGGGTAGAAAATGAATTTATAAGTAGGAAGAATAAAGGTGCTCTACTAAACAAGTTAGCAGATAAAGTTTTGTAACCTCAATTCAGGTGTTCAGAAATTATCATACTCCTTTATTTTCTACAACTCAAATTAATTCTAACCCTCTTCCCAGGAAATTTATTCTCTATGTCAGAGTTGTGAAAAGATCTAAGAGTCTTAGGTAGCCCCAAAGCATCAGCAAATATTTTGTGGTTATTCATTCAACTCAACAACTAATTGTAGTACACCTCTGCCTATGGGCTAGAGTATTAGACTTCATGGAATGTATGATTTTCTGAAAGCAACAAAAATTAATCAAACAATCCCCCAATTAATCTGACAAGTGCCGTAAAGAAAATGAAAAAAAAAAAGCTAGGAGACCCATGGTAGGGTATTTGGTCTAATCAGAGAAGTACAAGGAGGACTTCTTGGGGACAGGAACAACTGAGCTCATACCTGAAGGATTGGAAGAATATTACTAGATGATTATGGGTGGTAGGGGCAGAGTTTTTAAGGTGAAGAAGGCACTAGACAGAAAATCAATTACCTTCCTAGGACCATGGTAAAAATCAGGGTCTAAGCCAACACCTGTGTGACAGGGATGAGGAGCCAAGAAATATGGTGAAAGTTGGGGCTTCACTGAGAGTTCAGCATTGATGCAGACCCTTTGAGGTCCTCTTAGGCATTTTTCTTTTAATCCTAAATTCGATGGAATGGGGTATGGTACACACTATATGATTTTATTTAGAAAAGACTTCTTAGGATGAAGGTGGATAATGGATTGGCTAGTGAGAAATAATATTAGAGGAAATATGGGCAAAACTGTTAAGAGGCTGTTTCAGTTGTTTATTTGAGATGTTGGTAACTTGGTCTAAGATAGTGATGGTCTAGACAGGAAGAAGTTCATAAACTTAAGATATGTTTAGAAAGTAACATGAAGAGGTATTAGTGATAAATTGGAGGAAGTAAGTTTCAAGAATGATACAGAGTGATGAAAAGAGAGTTGAAATAGCTGCAAGAACCTACCTAACTCAGCATACTGGCTGCTGCTTTTAAGAATAAAATGGGTAAGAAAACCTCCTTGTTACATTGCATTTTGTCAACCCAGAGACAGACTCAAGATCATATCGAACTAAAGCCAGCATAATCAGAATTTATATGATAAAAACTTTAGGCAAATCAGAGTAGACAATGAATCTTTTTAATGTGTTTATTGGCTAAAGCAATATATAATGACTTTGAGATGTCAAGAGTGTGATCGTTGAGACTTGCAACAAATTGAAGTTCTAGGAATACATTATATCAAAATTATACATTCTTACATGTGTTTGGCTCTCATTTTATTTAGTTCATTCTTATTTACCTTTTTTTTTTTTTTTTGAGACAGATTCTTGTTCTGTTGCCCAGGCTATAGTGAAGTGGCATGATCAATCTCGGCTCACTGCAACCTCTACATCCTGGGTTCAAGCGATTCTCATGCCTCGGCCTCCCCAGTAGTTGGGATTACAGGTGTGCGCCACCATGCCTGGCTATTTTTTTGTATTTTTAGTAGAGACAGGGTTTCGCCATGTTGCCCAGGCAGGTCTTGAACTCCTGATCTGAGGCATTCTGCCTGCCTAGGCCTCCCAAAGTGCTAGGATTACAGGCGTGAGCCACTGTGCCTGGCCAGTTTTATTTACTTTAGATTAGTAGGGTTCAATCCATAAGTAACCTGTCACTGTTTACCTTGTGACTCTGTTACAAACTTGGAACATCAGTACATCTATGTTCTTTCAATTTTGAGATTCGCTTTAGCTTTTTCAAAGAAGCTTTTGTTTTTTTGTGTGTGTGTGTGTGTGTGTGTGTGATCATTTTCTATTGGAATTAATTACAAGATGAATGCCGAAATTTTAATTTGAAAGTACACCCTTTGCAGCATTGGTAACACTGTCCACTGATTAGTTATTGATGTTATGTTGCTGTTCCACAGTGTACTCAAACCACTGTGTGATTCAGAGATGGACTTCTAGAAATTTTTTTTTTGTGGATAAAAAAAAAAACAACAAAAAACACAGACCATTATATTTTCAAGTAATCAGAGCTACCAAAGAAGAAACCACTATGAAATACAGCTTCACATCAAATTGATGACAAAGAGTATGTGAGTTGTATGACAAGTGATGAAAAACTGCACATGAAGGTAAACAAATTCATGCAGGTGAGCAGAACACCAGCTGGGTAGACATGGTGTGAGAAAAACATCACTGACAGCAGAGATACAGTGAAGTGTGCATGATGTTTTGTTTTTATTTTCTATTATGTTGAAAAGGCAATAATACTATCTTAGCATTGTCGTGAAATCTAAATTAGTTAATTAATCAAGCATTCGATAAATGGTTTAAACACACTAGGTTATAATTAAGCATATATAATAGACCATGGATGGATTTATGACATCTATTTTATACTGTTACATTTTCCAACATTATGTATCCTCATAGAATTTGGAAGCTATTTTAAACCCTCTGCTATACTTGCTCCATGCTGTCTTTATGCATCAAGATATGCAAATGGCAGAACCCAGACAGGAAAGTCATTGCCAAAAGCCAGTGCAGAAAGAGATGCAGAGACAGAGAGAGACAGAGAGACAGAGGTTTCAGCAACCTGCAGCCATCAAAGGAATCGACAAATGTTATACATGGCTTGTAACACTGAATGTGAGGCCTGAAGTAAAACACATACATCTCAGCTTAGACCTCATGGAACAAGAAAAATATGAAATCCACAGAAGGCCACTCCAGAGTGGAAGACTCCCTTCATGTGTGAAAAGTTACAAGACTTTCTCAGTAAGATGGATTTGGAAACTGGTCTCAGAGTTCATTACCTATGCTGTATAGTTCTTTGTATTTATTACTGGCTTATTAAGCAGTCTGGATTCAATCAGGTATAAATATTAAACATCATATATTATCTTGCCACTGGTCAGCTATGCTTCTGTATTTCATTGATTCTAAGATGCACATTTTATAAAACATATTTTAGGGTTGCCGAAGTCAGGATGCATCTTGAAACCAACAAGTATCTTTAAGTTAATAAAGCTAAGAATATTTAATTTCCTCTTTCCATCTTTTAACAATATATATGGCAGGTCCCACAACTTCCTAGTAACTTTTGAGTAAAAACAACCCAAAGTTCATTTCAGGCCAGTTGAATACTTTACTTTCATATCTAGTTTAACTCTTTCACCTCTTCTTTATCTTTAGTACCCATCAGGACTTTGCCTGTGACATCTGCAGAAGGGAACACATATTTCTTTTCTACTTATCTTTGTATTTGCATTTTACACAAAGGCAGAGAGATATGTTTTATCAAGTACTACATATTTCTTTTCTCAATGCCTAAATTTTCAAAATACAAAATGGCAGAACGCAAAAATGTTTCCTGGTCGGGTCCTAGGGGAACTCTTCTCCCTCCCTATATTTCTTCTGTTGGGGTTAGAAAGAGGAATAGGATGTATGCTATGTTGGTGTATGTTTAATTATAACCAAGTGTGTTTACTTTATACCATTTATTGAATGTTTGCTTAATATGCTTAGTTCTCATGGCAACACTTAAAAGTATTATTATCTCCATATTAGAGAGATGAGATCATTGCTAGAACTAGGATTTAACCATGTTTCTTGGCCACTAGGAAAAATATTTTCTTAAAACACCATATTAAAGAACTACAGTGTTGGCATTGATCATTGAGACATAGGTATATATGCACTGGGTGTATCTAAGATGACCAGGAAAGTTAAGATTCTAGTGCTCAAAATGAGAAAAACTTTCAAAGCAGCACCACCTCCCACCTTGGTCAATTTGCCAGTGGTAAGACTTGTCTTTGTCTGTATTTGCATTTTACCCAAACACGGTACCACATATTTCTTTCCTCAATGCCTATGTTTTCTTTTCTTTTTTCTTTTCTTTTTTTTTAGATGGAGTCTAACTCTGTTGCCGAGGCTAGAATGCAGTGGCATGGTCTTGGCTCACCATAACTCCGCCTCCTGGGTCCAAGTGATTCTTGTGCCTCAGCCTCCTGAGTAGCTGGGATTTTGGGGACATACCACCACACCCTGCTAATTTTTGTATTTTTAATAGAGACGGGGTTTCACCATGTTGGCCAGGCTGGTCTCGTACTCCCAACTTCAAGTGATCTGCTTGCCTTGGCCTCCTAAAGTGCTGGGATTATAGGCGTGAGCCACCACGCCCAGCCCTCAATGCCTAAATTTTCAAAAGACAAAATGACAGAATGCAAAAAATGTATTTCTAGAACAAATCTTAGAGATGTAGAAGTAGTCTCTCCTTTGTGCTCCTATATTTTCATTCATTGATAAGGATGTGTATACAATTTTGTAATTGCTAGAGTTAAGTAATTTGGTAATTTATTTAACTGGTAAACACTTCTACTGTCATCATTCTTTGCCTGTGCAACAGCACAAGCTTCTCCACCGTTCTCCCAATTCTTACTCTTGCCAACCCCCAATATGTTGACCACGCCACAGCTTCATGTGTAAATCTTCTCATTCATTCTTCCATTTATTTAACATGTATCACATATGGCAACCATTATATTAAGTACTGCCTAAGCCTCATGGTCTATCATCCGGAACAGTGGTCCCCGACCTTTTTGGCACTGGGGACCGGTTTCATGGAAGACAATTTTTTCATGGGCTGGGTCAGGGGATAGTTTTCAGATGAAACTACCCCACCTCAGATCATCAGGCATTAGTTAGATTCTCATAAGGGGCATGCAACATAGTTCCCTTTCCTGTGCAGTTCAGAATAGGGTTTGCACTCCTTAGTGAATCTAATGCCACCGCTGATCTGACAGGAGGTGGAGCTCAAGCAGTAATGCGCAATGGCTTGCAACTCACCTCCTGCTGTGTGGCCTGGTTCCTAATAGGCCACAGATGGATACCAGTCCACAGCCCTGGGGTTGGAGACCCCTTATCTAGAGGACAGGCTTGTGTTCTTGGCAGGGAGTTGGATATGAACATACAGATATATCCCAGAATTTGGAGAAAACAAACAAGGTTCTGAGAAAGAAAGTAACTTAGAGAGGCTTCTTTTATGTAGGATGGTCAGGGAAACTCCATTGAGGAAGTGACATTTATGCTGTTACCAGAAGGAAGTTATGTAGAGTGGTTGGTGGGGGTGAACCAGAAAAGCATCTTGGGAAGAATGAAGAGCTAAAGCCCTGAAATAGGAAAGCATGACATTTCTAGGAATAGAAAAAAATCAGTGTGGCCAGATCATAACGTGAACCAGGTGGAAGTGTATTAAATGGGTTGAGAAATAATACAGAGGTTGGATTTTATTAAAAATGCAAATAAGAAAAATACTGATAGATTTTAAGTAGGGACTTATCCCAGCTTGATTTGTATGGACAGAAATCGGTTTGATTTCTCTTTGGAGGAAATACTGAAGGAAGATAAGATGGAGGCTTGGAAGTTAGTCAAAAGCCTGAACAGTGATGATGGTTTGATTCTAAGTGGTACAATTGTAAACAGAACACAAGATAGATGGTGGAGAGAGTATGAATGGGATTTGTTAATGATTTAGTAGTTGTAACAGGAAAGAAGAAATAAAAAATAAAAATTAGGCTTCTGTTGCAAGTTACTGTGTGTATACTGGTGCATTTACAGATATAAATAAGATTGAGAATTGGGATGGGTTTAAAGAAAGGATGGGTCAAGACTTCTATGTTCTGTTGAGTTGGCTCTGAGACAATCTAGTAGACTAGTTAAGAATGTGGTAGCAAAATGTGAATCTAGAGATCTCAAATATATCATAGATCTGATTGGAAATATAAATTCGTTAGTTATTCCCACGAAGGAGCTCACACAGAAAGAGAGAGGTGGGTACAGAATTGAGCTTGTAATGTATCTTAGTAGTACTTAAAAGTTAGGTAGAGACTGGGCAAGGTAGCCCACACGTCTGTAATCCCAGCACTTTGGGAGGCTGAGGCAGGTGGATTTCTTGAGTCCAGGAGTTCGAGACCAGCCTGGGCAACATGGCAAAACTCTGTTTCTACAAAAAATTGAGCTGGGTGTGTTGGTGTACGCCTATAGTCCCAACTTCTCAGGAGGCTGAGGTGGGAGGATCGCTTGAGCACTGGAGGTAGAAGCTGCAGTGAGCCCTGATCGCACCACTGCAGTCCAGCCTGGGTAACAGAGAGAGACCCTGGTTAAAAAAAAAAAAAAAAAAAAAAAGTCGTCTGGGAGCGGTGGCTCACACCTGTAACCCTAGCACTTTGGGAGGCCAAGGTGGGCAGATTGCCTGAGCTCAAGGAGCTCAGACCAGCCTGGACAACATGGTGAAACCCCATCTTTACTAAAATACAAAAAGTTAGCTGGGCATGGTGGTGCGTGCCTGTAGTCCCAGCTTCTGGGGAGGCTGAGGCAGAAGAATCACTTGAACCCAGCAGGCGGAGGTTGCAGTGAGCTGAGATCGTGCCACTGCACTCCAGCCTGGGCGACAGAGCTGAGACTGTCTCAAAGAGACAAAAAGGGCAGACAGAGGAAGAGGACCCAATATGGCAACTGTTGAGGAAAAGCCAATAAGGGTTAAGGAAATTTAAATTTGTAGGTAATGATGTTTTGGAAGCTGACAAAACATAATGGTTAGAGAAGGAAAGATTTTGTTTAATGCTACTAAGAAGTCACATAATATGAGGGTAGAGAAACAAATGATGGTATAAAATCTGGCAACATGGAGACGATTGGTAAGAAAATTCAAGAACAATGTTTATAATGCTTCATAACTTCCTCATAGCTCTTAGGGTAAATACATATTCTTGGAACCTGCAAGGCCTGGCAAGATTTGGCCATCATCTCCCTCTGAAACCTCCTTATTTTCCAGGCTCTGCTTCTTTCTACATCAGCCTCACATCTCTTCCTGTTCCTTGAACACAGTCTCCTCCTTTAAATTTATTATTTCTGCCTAGAATACTTTCCTTCTCCTCATACTCATTTAACTTATTTTCTTCAGGTCTAGCTCCATTGCTTTTTATTCCAGGAAAACTTCCCAACCTCCAGAATAGACCAAATATCCTATTATATGCTTAAATCACAGTGTGGAAGTATTGCCTTTGTGATGAAAGTGTCATGATGACTGGATAATTAATTATTGTGTCTTCCACTAAAGTGTAGATAGGAAAGAAAGCATGCCTGTTTTTGCTCACCATTTTTTCCTCATGTCAGGTAAAATGACTGGATTACATTAGGAACTTGCTCTGTATTTGTTGAATGAATGAGTGAATGAATGCATGAACAAATGAGTAACATCTGCCTCTGTAGTTAACTTGTAATCTGTTTCTGTCTTTATATAACCTCTACTGTAGGTAGCCTTAAAAATCTGGAAAATGACTTTATTGATTTAAGTAAATATTAAGTTTTTAAGCTTTTAAAAATCTATTGTAAGTTGATTAACTATGATTATTTTGAAATTTTCTTCATCAAAATTTGAGATGACTTTGGATACATACTGTTTTCAGCTACTCAACAAGTGCCATTGTATTTACTATGTATGAAATCTGGTGTTACTTCCTGCCCATTTCCTAGACTCAGTTGTTCTTTGCAAAATACCCATTTATCAGCAACCAGCCCACCCTCCCTCTGGGAATCAGTGAGAGTGGATCACATCAGTATGTCATAAATACTCCTCCTGTTTTCTTTGAGAGTTTTCTGCTGATGCAAGCGGAAGGCTTGGATGCCAGGCCTGTATGTGATACAGTAGAAATTTCCCCAGATGCCCTGTGGAAAGACAAGCTGCTACCCGGAGTCCTTCCTGGATGTCTGGCTTAGTGTAGTATACCATCAAGGACAACCTGGCTCTGTCTCCTAACAAGCTGCTAGGGCCTTCCCTCTTGCCTACCCTCCTGACAGCCTGGACCTCAGGCTAACAAACCTCTGGGTTGCCACTGTCTCCATTCTGAGCCATCAGAATTGTATATACATTCATCTGCTGATGTCTCTGTATTTCAAGCTGTATGTCTTTACACCTTTATAATACACAGTACAGATTTTGCTGCTTAAAATTCTAGTATTTCCTATAGACACTAAACTCAATTTTAACACAATGAATATGTTAAAACATTATATATGTGTTGGATTAACACATATAATGCAACTCATTTGTTGCTAATCTATCTTGGATTCCTTGGGTAGAATCTGTCTTCTCACCTGTCTGAAATGGAATTGAATCTCCTAACTTCTTACTATTTTTTTAAAGCCACAAATCCCTTTTAAAATGTCCGTTTAAGGCTGCTAAACTCACATTGTTATAGAGTATATTTTATATACTTTTCTTCCTTTTAAAAGATCATATACACTTTTCTCCTGGCCTCTAATTTTGCCAAATATTCTGCCATAACAGCAAGCTCACAGAACACAAGTATTTGCTTAAAGATATTTAAAGCAAATCCCCAAAGAGTTTTCTGTTGCAAATGTATTTTAAGACATAGGCTGAGGAGCTGAGTATTCAAATCCATGAGTTCTGACACTGATGTTTTATTAGGCCTACCCACATGAAAATTAGTGCTTACTTGCACAGTTATCTTATTTAAAAATACATTTGCAAAAAGAGAATAATTTCATTTTCACTGATTCAAAGGTCTATCTTTTCGAGTATTATAAACTTACATAGTACAAAAAGATTGGTAAAAGGGATGAGAAAAATAAAGGGCAATAGTAAGGTGAGTAAGGAAAGCAAAATTAAACTTGGAGACTTGGGTTCTAAATATAGCTTGTCTACATCCTAGCTGCAAGATCTTAGGCAACTCAACTAACCTCTCTGAACATCACAGATAAAATGGGGAATAATAACATTATCTAGCTCAAGGGTATCGTACAAATTATACAATATATGTAAAGTGCAAAGCATAGTTCCTGCACATAGTAAGTGCTCCATAAGTTAAATATAATAATAATCATAGTAAAATAATATTCTTAACTACAATCTTATTAAAAGGTTATTACCTAGAGTTTAAGCTGTGGGGTTATTTCCATTTGCACAAAGTGTGATAGAAATTTGGCTCTGTAGTTCCTAGCAGCCAATGTAAGAGTAAAACAAAAAAGTTTGTAAGTATCAAAAGATTTATTTACTTAAATATAAGAACCCTACAATAATGCTTCCAAACTAGGGTTTGCAGAATTACCACAAGGGCTCTGTCTGTCTAAAAGTCCCCCAAGCATTATCTATTGTTCAAATAAATGAGTTGCACATGTGTGTACTTTTATTTTTAAAGGCATATAGATATTGTATTAATAAAACCAATTCATCTAATTGTATTGTTGAATTTATACTTTTTGCCAGTAAGCATTTTCCTAATAGATGGACTTAACTAAGAACATCAGAATGGTGAAGAGCATTGTGTTAATACAATTCATTGTCTTATTTGTTAAAAAAGTTGAAAAAGTATTGCTGAGAAAAAGGAAACAAGTTAACTTTTGTTAAAGGTATCTCTTGGTTTTCACTGTCCTTTCCCTCATCAGTAGCGCCAAGAACATCTTAAGTCACAGAAACATTAGTTTTTGGAAGCAGGGTTTGCTGTAACTATAGTAGAAATGACATTCTGATTCCACTCCTAGCTTCACAAGGATATCTGTGAAAGATTTGGGGCAAAACTGTTAAGCTGTCTGAAAGTGCTTTTGCATAAGAAATGGGTTTTACTGCTAAAACTGTCATATTGCTGAGTTTTGAATGCCCTAATGGTAAATGATACTGGGTTGCCAAAAATAACCAGATTAGTAGTTTTTTCATTCATTTGGCCGTCTCAGTAAGTCAAATATTGATACTTTCTACTAAGTCATCTTGCCAACACCCATTTTGTTATACTTATGCTGAATCTGTTTGTCATCTCTTAAGTAAGAAAATTATTGATTATTTTGTGGGGATTTAATTTAAAAAAAATGGTAATGGATACTGTAAAGGAGCATTATTTGGATGGTTTAAAAACATCTTCCTTGATGGGAAAATCTTTTAAAAGGCTTTCTAACTTGGTGTAATTACTTGAATTAAGGAAGTGCAATGCCATTCTACTGACTTAGAACAACTTTTTTGACTTCCTGCAAAGAGGACCCTTACAGTATTTTTGGAGAAGTTAGTAAAACCGAATCTGACATCATCACCTAGCAGTTCATGCAGCTAGCAAGTGGTTTGTTCTTAGGGTAACAGAGGAGGAAATTGTTCCTCGTCTGATAAGACAACAGTGGAGAGTATGCATTTATTTATTTACTTTTACATTTTTGATTCGTTTTTACAGAGAAAAACTTCTACAGAGATAACAATTATTTTGCTTTTCAGAAGGACGCATGCTGTTTCTTAGGGACACGGCTGACTTCCAGATATGACCATGTATTTGTGGCTTAAACTCTTGGCATTTGGCTTTGCCTTTCTGGACACAGAAGTATTTGTGACAGGTAAGTACAAGGATATTAATATTTTTTAAATTATTTTTTCTCTTTTGGAGGAATGTTTGAAATAGACATAAAAATAATTTAAATGTGTTGGTAACTGGAAGTGAGAAGCCTGCTGTAAACCATCAAGATTGTTGTCTCAGGGAGACATAGCTAGTTGTGTGACAGAATACATTGTTTCTGTTTACAAAGACATAAATGTTTCGGGACAAAAAATACAATTTTAAAAGGAAAGCAATGTCTATCTGTATCTTTATTTACAACTGTTCAAAGATATTACAAAAGCAACATTATTACTTAACTTCCAAAGTGACAATAACACACATTTATAAAAGCCTGAGAATTTTTTAATGATAAAATAAGTGAGTTTTTATTCTTTTAACAAATTTGATCTTTTAAAAAGTCATAAAACAGCTTTGGTTGTATGTAAGCCACTCCCTCTTTTCAGACCTGAAGTTTGCTTCCTCAAATTTTGAATTTAATTGACATATTTTATTGAATACTTGGGTATATAATAGTTCAAAAATATATTGAGATATTTAGTAAAATATTAACTTTCTGCAATTTTTATCACAGAATGTATTTTAAATCAAGTTTTTAGTTTCTTGTTAATAGTTTTAATACATTTTTGCTTTAGAAATTCTTGTGGAGCCACCGCCCTTCCTGGGTGGTGGGTAAATATTACAGCCTTGATGAGATAGAAATATTTAAACTCTTAAAAATCATGCAAATGCTGTATTCAGTAGGAAAATGCAACTAGTTGGACTTCCAGTGCCTATTAAAGTTTGAAATCTTTGCACATTTATGGTCTATTCAATGGATAGTTCTTGAGCGGCGTCAATATGAATCATGAGTACATTTCAATAGATTATAGAATGTAACTAATAATTAATATTTAATATTTCTCTTTATGATGTAGTATCTAAAAGGACATTGAAAATAAAATTTTTGTAGAAATTCCAAAAAGTATAAAAAGTATTTTAAAACAACTTGCTTATTACAATTCACTTTGAAGTCTTTTTTTGACTTTTACCGTTCTTCTTTCCTCTGAAAGTCAGGGAAGTAGCTACCTCTTGAGCATGTTACATTGACAATTTCTATTTGGAGAGGAAAGAAAGAGGAAAGAAAAACAACATAAGATTTTTGTTGTTGTTGTTGTGGCTGTTTTGCTTTTTATTGCAAAGGTGAATTTTTTAAAAATCTATATATTTGCAGCATTTGTCTTAGTACAGAAAATGTTTATCAAGTTACCATCCCTTTAAAGCTTATGATAATAAAAAGTAAATTATAAAGAATAATAATCTCAATGAAGTGATATATGTATATTATCACAAATCAGAACAGATTTTCATTTAAAATTCCCACTCAGGAAATGTCGAAAAGCATTTTTAAATGAGCATAAAGAAATACTGAGACATTTTGTAAGCCAGAATATTTTTCTTCTCTTCATATTCATTTAACTTCTATTATTTTCTTCAGGTCTAGCTCCATTGCTTTTTATTCCAGGCAAACTTCCCAACCTCCTGAATAGACCAAATATCCTATTATATGCTTAAATCAGAGTGTGAAATATTTCCTTTGTGAATAAAAATTCAACTCATTCTATTACAGGATGTTTTTTTAACCATAAGACACATCTTTGAATTTATAATTGAAATAATATGATGGGGTCTAGAAACCTTTATATCAACTTTGCTGAATGATTTATACCATAGCAAATAAATGGATATACATAAATTTATTTTGAAAACTCAACTTTATCTTCAGTTGCTCACATAAATATTGAGAGCAAACATTTTTCTAAAAGACATTTGTAGACTCCCTGAGATATATGCTTATTTGTGGAAAAACATATACAGATATAATCATTTGTATCTGCAAATATTGTTTATAATCCTTTCAAGTTGCAAGAAACATTTTGTGATTTAATGTATAATTTGGAAAATTCTTAATGCTTTAAATTATTTATTTTTCTTTTTTAGCAACAAATGAGTTGGATTCTATGTTTCATTTTAACGTGTTAAAATTAGTTTAGTGCCTACAGGAAATAATAAACTTTTGGGGAACAAAATTTATATTGTATGCTGTAAAGGCATAAAGAAATAGAGCCAAATGTAGAGAGCCATCAATGGTAACTCTATGCATAATTCAAATATTTTATTTAATATCTAAAATGCACACACGGACAAGGCCAAAGTTAATCTTTGCCACGGCAACAACCAGGCAGGGTTCAGTTTTACTCAAGACTTCCTAATCCTCTTGCTCTGTGCCTCTTTGCCATGGCAACTGGAAGCCAAACTTTGTTTAGAATTTCTAAATAATGTTAGGGGACAATGATGGTTTTAAGAAGGCAGGTGAAGGTGAGTGTTCTCTGGTTCTAATAAAGTTGTAATGCCAGGCAGATCTACCACACTATAGCATGGCAGTTAGGAGTATATGAGTTATGGTATGTGAGGTATATGATGAGTTTTGTTATGAGTCATAACAGTTAAGACTCATTTCCTGGACATAATTCTTCATTTTTCCATCTGTATTAAAAATATATATCTCATGTTATAAACATGGACTGTGCCTTGCACATCACAGACATTCAATGAAAATTATTTAATTGAATTTGGTAAGCAGTCCTATTAAGTTCTAAATACTCCATAATTTAGAGATTTGGGAATGTGATTAGAATTACTTATTAATTTGAAAAAAAATGTCCTACTAAAAACCTGCCTGTGACCTTTATCATTGCTAAAGTTTGAAATGTACTTTGTTACAGGAAAGACTACGGCTAGGGCCTATATTATCTTTTTCTCTTTTGTTCTGTGTAAGTAAGTATAGGGGCAGAGTAGTTAGCTTGAACTTAGTTCTTTCTTTGTTCTGGACTATTTGCTATCCTCTCACCAGTGACAATTAACCAGTATAGAAATATAGATGTTTCTACATTGTTCATATACTTGAACATATATTTCTTTATGTAGATACTCACACATAAACTAGTTATATATTTGTGGGTTATATATACTAGTCAATCTATCTATCTGTCTATCTATCTATCTATCTATCTATCTATCAGTTCTCCATGTTTGTCTATTTGGCGTTCCCATGAACTTCAGACCTTCGCCTGTGTTCTCTTTTCTCCATTTGGTTACGTATCATTGCCTACTATGTGTTGATCACTCTGATTCTCCATCTCTAGACTCATCCCTCAGAAACACGGAACTTACTACCTTTCCTAAATCCAGACATTAACATGCTCCCCAAGTCCTGAAATTTTGCTTTGTAATAATCTCTAATAACTTCTTGCTTTGACACCTCCATTGCCATCATCTTAATTCATGGCTTTATTATTTCTCACCTGTAAAATTGTAATAGTTTTTTTAATCAGTCTGAAGTCTCATCCTTTTTTTAATGTAATCTACAGCTTAAAAAGTAAAATAAAAAGTGAAGGGTTACTGATTTCTTCTCATTGCCTTTGGTATAAATTCTAATCTTTTTTGCCAGAGAAACTGGTTCCACTAATGATCTGGGGGCTAGGCCTGGAGCTGGGAAGGGATCTTTTTTCTTTTCTTTCTTTCTTCCTTTCTTTCTTTCTTTCTTTCTTTCTTTCTTTCTTTCTTTCTTTCTTTCTTTCTTTCTTTCTTTTTTCTTTCTTTTTCTTCTATGATTGATTAAAAGAAAACAAACAGGAGGTAGTTTTAACACCCACCTCTATACTTTCTCAAGGTGTTTAAGGTTCTGGGCAAATCCTACTTCTTCTATTATGTTCTCTTATGTCACTTTTGCCACAAAATATTTCCATTGAATTGCACACTTTTTATCACCTTTTCTTGGCATTTTTCAAGTCATTTCAATCTGCTCTTTTTTGTGATGATGATTGATGATGATGATGACATGTGAATTAGTGGATTTCTTGACATTGTAACCTACATGAAATCAGGTATAGGAGACACAAAAGGCATAAACTCATAGTTCCCATACCTAATTTTTCACCAGACACTGAATAAATCATAGATTAAAAAAATAAAACTGCATATTGTAGTGACAAAGGAAAGGAAAATTTTCAAAGAGGGAAGTCAAAAAGAGGGAGAATATGAGATAAAAAAATTAACCAGAGGCGAAGTGGGAGGATGAAGACAGCAGGACTATTTTGTCCAGATTAAATTAAGTTGATTTTGGATCTAGATGTTTACAGTCTTGCCTTTTTGTTTTTGTTTGTTTGTTTGTTTGTTTTTTCTTTGCTCCCTTTCTTACTCTCCTTATCTCACCTCTCGTCTGGAAAGAGCCTCCTGACTTCCTAAAAGTTCATAGTTTGAGAATGTTTTTCCTAAATTTTCTTTGATCTGCTCTTTGGACATTCTAGGTAATGTAATTTGGAGGGTCAATTTTATTTTTCAGATACACATACCCATAGGAGAAAAAGCAAGGAATGGGAGGGAAATACAAATGTAGCGGAGTGATAACACAAACAGATCAGGTCCAGTCATGGCAATTGCTGGTTTGAACACTGATGCTAGTGCTCTGGGATTGCTTGCAAGGGCAGATGGAATATGGTGCACCCTAGGTGTTGCATTATTTGCACGACAAAAGTTTGTAGAGAGCTGGGAATAATTTCTTTACAGACAGTGTGGTGATGAATGTCAATCTGAGTAGGTAAGGGGCAGAGATTTGTACTGAGGTTGATTCATTCTCTTGGTAAATACACAATGTTCACAAAGGCAAGGTTTCATCTTCAGACCATGTGTGTATATGTCACCTTGGTGCAGAGAGAGAAATTTTTCATCAGTGCTGACCTTTGATTTTTTTTTCTAGACATCTTATAGATTTATGTAGTTATTTACATGGGAAACAATTAGAATGGAAATTTAACATATCTTCAGTTTAAAATTAATTTCTGTCTAGTCTAAATATCTTTGTAAGTACTAGATACTCAATCCCATAGCAGTGGCCTTTTACCAAAGGCTTAGTGCTATGACTTTTGCATACATAAAGACCTCACTTTTTAAGATATGATACACCAGAAAAAAAATATGGCAAGACTTTAGCAATATGATTTGATGCCTATTTCTATATAATACCCAAATATACAGGAATAAAAATTATGGCAATCACTGGATTTTGTGTACCTGGCTCTAACCAATATTTATATTAGAAAATATCTAATTATTGTCTAAAATATTTAATCTTCATTCCTGTTTGTATGTCAGTGTGCTACTTCAATATCAGTCTGTTAAAAGAGTCTAGGAATGACTACTATAAGCAGAGAATTATATGTTCAGGAATCACAACAAAAAACAAGAACAAATAGAGAAACAAAAGCTTTCCTACTCTTTCATCTAGGACAAGAATAAATACACATAAAGTCAATATTAGTGAAGTAAACAAGCATCTTCTATATCCATTCATAGTACCTTCAATTGATTGATTTCTTAACAGACAATCAGCAAAATTATCAGTTTTTATTAGAGATTTTAGTAGAGACCGAGCTTAAACAAATATATTCTATGGTGCTTAACTCTATAGTATTTAAAGATTCAATATTTATTTCCTCTAAAAATGAGTCAAGTGTCTGAAAGGAAAAAGCCACCTAACTGAAACTTCAGTTTCTACTATACAGGGTATTTATTATAAAACTGTAATTACAATGCAATTATATTGAAGTATAAATGATCATCATTCATTTATTTAAGAATATAATCAAAATTTGCATACCTGGAAGAAAACCATCCACCCTCCAAAATAGGGATTTGCTAATGTAGGAGTAGAAGGCAAAAGTTGAGGGTAACTCAGGTAACACACTCATACGTATTAGGATATGAACAGCTGGTATAGCAAACTTGATAGAAATCACTGATAGACAAGAAGACATTCTCTGCATTTTAAATTAAAGTACAATTTGTCTGTGGTCATTCAAGAGATAGTTTAGAGAAACCTATACAAATAACAATGATGCTAAGAGACAATATCAAAATCACAATAAATATCATGGCAATACAGTGTGGCCACTATATTTTAAACACATCCACTTGATGAAAAATATAATAATTTACTGATAAAACATATTAAGCATAATAGAAAATGAGGCAGAAACCACTCCAAGCTGGGAAACATCATGACATCTGTAGTGATAAATATTTTGAAAATCTAACTCTATGAATCTTGTGATTTTTAGCTAAATCAATTTTCACCCTTGAGACCCAATTTCCTCATCTATAAAGTGTTGTAAGCATTAAAAGTTATAATATTTGTGAAAATGCTTTGAAATTATGTGATACTCTGAGAAGTAAATTTTTTCATGTGAGCCCATGAAATCAGAGCACATAGCCTTTTAGCATAAACTTGATTCCAAATGATATCTCTTCCTTTCAGACACTGTGAGCAGATAAAGGGATAGTTTAAGGTTAAGTGATAGAGGCATAATCCCTTATAGGCCTTTGAATTCTTTTAACTTTGCATTCTTTATTTCAGAGATTTTTCAGGCTTCTCCAGATTCTACAGTCTAAATAGTTTGTAAATCCACACACTTCTACTTTGCCAGGGATTTCTTAGTGTAAAAATATCCTGAAGTCTCACCTGCCTTCAATCCTTACTGTGTCCATACCCACCATTACCAGGATAATCTTTGTAAAAGGCAGAACTTACCTTTGTCCATTCCTCTTTTAAAAGCTCCTATTGGTAGAAAATATACTGAACCCGTGATTTGATACCAAGTATGTTTTGGCTCAACTTTTATGAAAACAAATATTTAATTAGAATATACCAACATTTATGAGTTTTCCTTAAAGATAAATTTTGGAGGAAAAAAACTCCATTAGACCAATTTAATTCCCTGATGATTATATATATATTACCTAGTGAAATCCTTGGCAGTTTTTCCATTTTAATTTTAATTTTACTGAACTAATGTTTAGCAGCATCACTTTCATTTAATTTTTACAATAACTATTAGATTCATGAATCCATTTTACCCATGTCAAGTTCTACTGAATATAGCTTATGCTTGGAATTTTCCTTTGTGATTATTACTTTTCTAAAGGTAATTCTTCTTTTCAAACAATACAGATCTAAATTTTCCAAAACCATTTAAATTCTTCTCTTTGGCCAGAAACATTTTCTGTGTGTAGTTTTGGCTACCGCTAGTTTAGTTTTTTTAATTGGTTTTGTGTCTCAATGCTACAAAAAATATAATTTATGTAATTTTTCATTTTTGTCAAACTTAAATCGGGCAATATTAACCATTCTCAATTTTTTGTTGTGTTGAAATTTCTATCAGTGACATTAATGTGGAGATTGACAGCTCTTTGAGCTAGATTCATTTTGAAATTTTAAGACTTTCGATTATTTCTTATCTAGCCAATAGAAACTTTAGAAACACTTTTAAGACTGCTTGATAGCCTGGAATTATTATGTTTGAATTCTCATTCATTTGTATGGTATTCCTCTTATTAGCTTTCACACTTAGTACCAATTTCTTATTCATTATTGGAGCAAAAAGTAAAGAGAAGAATCAAGGTGATAAGTTTAAAATCTTCTCAATGTAAAATAGTGTGTGGGGAAAGTGTCAAATCATCCTACTTTGGTCTTTGTGCATTTAGGAAAAATAAAAGCAATTAGCATTGCACACACATATGTAATTGAATCTCTTCAGATTTGTCTGGCTTTATCTCTAACCACTTTGTGACTCTTTTTGTAACTTGCATTTTTCTAAAAATGTGACCTTGTTTGGTCTTCCTACTGTTGGCCATGCTGTTTTTCCTTCTCTCCACATCTTTTTATCAATGGTGCAAATTATAAATTGTATTCAAATTTACTGTAAAGATCATGTCCTCTAGACAGCCCCTATCCCACTTGTATAACCCTTGCTCTTCAGCCCCTTTCACACCTGCATAGGTATTCTTCTGCTGTGATGATCCTTTGAATAATTCTCTTGGAGTTCTCTTTACCAGGCTCTCTTGCAGCAACTGGTGAGCTCATGTAGGCTATCACTGGGTCTCTGCTTATTTGCCAGTGCCTGCAGGTCCTCAGTACCTGTTTGCTGAACAAACGAATGGTCTGTCAGCTTAACCCAACTCTGTATGTAGAAGGCACTTAATAATTCTTAAAAACAATTTTGATTCTGTCCTTTTATTGTTATTTATGGGAATTATTTATGGTAAAAATTTCTACATAATAGAAAATTTGGAAAATGTCAAGAAATAGAAGGAAAAAGAAATTGCTTAGAGCCCATGCTAACATTTTGTTTTTCTTCCTCTATCTTTTGATCACATGCTGTGTATGAAATTTCATGTTCAATTTTTTCCCAAGTAAACCTTGATTATTCTAGACAATTTGAAAAATATAGAAATGAATAGAAAAATAAGAATTTCAGGTTTCCAGTTCTCAGGATCTAAAAACTTTTTGAGTATTTCATTTGACTAGGACAACTAGATCTATTCAGTTATTTATTAACTTATTAGTTCATTTGATAAACAACTATTTTGTGAGTGTTTTCCATGTAATTTGGGCTGAGGACACCTATCCCATGAAGCCCGTATTTTCTATCAGTGGCTTCTTGGAGATGGTGTTTTAAATCTTCCAAAATCTTCATCAGCACCCCAAAACTTCCTCCTCAAAGTAACAACATACCTTGCTACAGATAATTATTGGTGTTATCAATGTTTTATAAATTATAAATTTAAAAATCACTATCTTAAGATCTATATATAACATATTAAGTAAAACTTATATTCTTACAAGACTTCCTCCAGGTCCCTGTTACAACCAGATTTTCTTTGCAGACTTTTAAATTATGGAAGTTCTGGTGCTGCCACTGAGTTGTGTAGATTATTATTAGATATTCAATAAATAAAGTTGGTAGATGTGAAGAGGTACTAGACAATAGTCCTATTTTGTTTTGGTTTGTTTGTTTTGTAATTTATTCTGAAAAAATGTTTATGTGGAGAGAAAAGGGAAAACATACAGAAATACACAGCACACAAACAAATTCTTACTTTTTTTTGGTAGTCTTTCTAATTTTCCAAGGTCACCAGCTAATAGCAAATGAGAGTTGTAGGGGGTGGGGTGAAGGCTGGGGTCTTAATCGGGGTCTATCTGATTCTAGATAGACCAGATTCTAGATTTTCCACTCGGTTACTCAATCTTCTTAGTGGTCAGTTTAATAACCTGGAATTTAAGACATGACTGTGTGATGATGGGCAAATCACAGCAGGACTGAATGGGAGCTGGTAATTTCTCAGAGGTTGTTTGTGTGACATATGCATGTAAGTTCATTCACCTGATTTAGCTACTTACATGAACCATTGTGCACTGAGCTGCTTCTATATCTTTAGCATATTCTGTATCTATGTAAAATTCACATAAGATTGTATGACTTTTATAAAAAACAAAAAGACATCTTTGATTAATTTGTCTTCACTATGAATACTGATGTGATGTGTTACAATCATCCTGAAAAGGAGGCTAACAAAGGACAGGACTGAGTCTGTCTTGAGGTGAGTGATATGATGGAAAGAATGGATTTTCCCCCACCCAACTCATTTTTGATATTACATAAAGTGAAAAACATTAAATAATTCACCAAAGTATCTAGATTTTTTTTTGTTTTTGAAGTGCAAGGGAAGTAACTTGACCTTTGTTAAACACTTTGATCATGGAAAACACATAAGGTTCTCATCTTATTCCAGGAAGTGTAGACACTAGATAATCTTTTCATAGTCATCCAAAAAGCATATTAAGTGAACCAGGTAAATCCATCCTACACTTTTTATTCCAGAGACAAGTTGGCTAAACTTTGAGGAGACTAAAACAAAACAAAAAAAAATTATTGTTTGGTTCATTTGATAAATGTGGATTCCAATCATATAATTTAGGCCAAATATTATACTTTGACTTCTTAGACTTAGATTTCCAGATAGTCTGGTTTATAAAATAAGATTTTAACTATGCTTACTAAACTCTATGTATTTCTACTTTCCAATGACCCATGTTCTTATTTTCTGAATTTACTTATTGATGCTTTAGGTATGATAAAGGTATGTAATGGCTAAGGAAACATAAATGAAGCATAAGACATCAGTTGAGAGTTTTGACGGAAAGGAAGTGGTGATATGAAGGAAACAGATAAACCAAAGAAAAAGGAAAAGGTCAGGGAGCTGATAAAAGTAACTTGAAGAAACTTTAGTGCAAATGTTGGATTCAGACAATCGCTACTTTTAAAGTACTTAAAGAAGTCAGTCTTTGAAATCTTGCCCGGATTCCATTCCAGTTTCATCATTGGAGACTTCCAATGATGAAAAATTGGGGAAGAATTACCTTCCAAAGCCTCAGTTTCCTCGTGTGTAAAATGGAAATAATAGCAAGAGATATTAAATGAGATGATTCACTCATCGATTCATCAATTGTTTATAGAGCCCCTGCTAAGCTAAAAACTGTTTTAAGTGTTGACACAGTGGTAAAGAAAGCAGAAAGTGTAACTACTTTTATGAAACTGACTTCCTAGTGGTGAGAGATAACAAGAAAACAAACAACAAATTGAGATAACTTCAGTTATAGATAAATGCTGTGAAGAAAATTAAGTAGTGTAATATGGTAGAGTTTAATCTGGCCAGACCCAGATTTAGGGGTGAATGCACTTTTAGACAGAGTGATCGGGGAAGATCCTTATGAAGAAGAATCATTGAGCTACCTGTTGGCTGACAAGAATATGGGGATCCATGTGAGGGAGACTGGCAAGAGTAAAGGTTATCTGGCAAAACCAAACAAATTGGTAGGTTCGAGGCACAGAAAGGTCAGGCATCTGTAGTATGGTGAGTAAGAACTGAGCAGGTTGTGGTGAGGCTAGAAAGATAAGCAGAAGGCAGGTCCCACAGGGCCTTGATGGAAATGGAAAGAGCTTGAATTTTACCTGAAGTATAAAGGGAAGGAACCATTTTAAGTTCTTAAGTACAGAATAACCTAATCTTCTTTCTGTGTTGAAGAGATCACTTTGACTGTTATGAAGAGAATAGATTGGAAGTAAGGCAAAGCCTGGAAGCAGTTATGAGGAGACTGAATGGGAGGATGGAGAAAGGGGATGGTGATCTGGACCAAGTGTTGGCAGTGCAGGTGGAAAGAAAGGAAAGACTGACATAGAATTAAGAGAAGTGGCTGCATGGAAAAGACAAAGACATTTTAGAGAATGACTTTTTTTCCCCATGAGCACTGGGATGGGAAAGAGCCAAATTAGGGGGTCAGAAATCCAGAGTTATGTTTGGGCTGTTATTGATGTCTGATTTTCATTAGGTGGTAGAGAGGTCAAGAAATCCGTTGGAGATAAGAGGCTGAGGCCCATTCAGTAGGTCTCAACTGGAGACATAAACATAGGAGTCATTGCATTCAGATGGAGCTTAAAGCTAAGGGACTGCATGTGACAGTGTAAATAAACATGTAGAGAGTAGCAGATGACTGGTTTCTGAGCCTTGGGAAACTTCATATTTGGAAGAGACACAAGGAGGAGCTAGGAAAAGATAGTGAGAAGAGGTAGCCAGTGAAAAAAAGTAGAACTATACTTTGCTTTGAATGTTGAAAAGGGTTGGCATTATAGTGAGAATTCAGTAAATTCCACATAAAAATCTGAATTTATGTCTCCCCTAGAAAGGTTGGTTGTGAACATGCAATTGGTAAATATCTCTATTAACTTTAATATTGTTACAAAAGTAATATTAAGGAATTTATAATATTTGGAAGAATTAGATGTCTTTACCTAATATATCCCTTGCTAGCTTAACAATTAGAAAAAGAAAGAGGTACATCTTAACATAATTTGTTTTAATAAAAACTACAGAATATATTGAGAGACTAAAGAATTAGAAATTTAACTGAAAATTTCATGCAAAGGTAATGCTCTGTTGAACCATTTTGTAGCTTATGTTTTGTTTTGATACATATTTTAAAATATTGTTTAAGACAATACTTGAACAGATTGGGATTGTGTGTGTGTGTGTGTGTGTGTGTGTGTGTATTGGTTAAATAACTGGTTTATTTTTAAACTGAAATTAAACCTTCCATTTCTTTGAGAAATTTAAAAAGTAGTTGTTATCAATGTGGCAGATATTAGGTAGAATCTAATATCGTGAAAATTAAACTGCACATAAATAGATATAAATCCTTTTGTCAGTGTGTGTATATCTCTGTGTGTAATTTTGATCTCAGGCTTGGCAGGTTTCCTTAAAACTTTTTTTTAGAGCTACTTAATTTTGTACTTACTGGTGGTTAGCTAATAAGAAAAAGCTAATAAAAAATAGTGCTTACTCTGTGCCAGGCACTTCTGTTAACATTTTATAAATGTTATCTCATTTAACAAGCTCATGTCATTGTATAGTCTAGCTTATACTTGTCTTTAACATAAGCAAATTTGTTAATTTGTGTTTCCTGATATTATCATAAAATTTACTGGTTGTCATATCCTAAAAGGGAATAGTTCAATTTAATTTTCCTTGTTCTAATTTTAAATACAGTACTAAGGTTGAGAAAGAAGGGGTCAGGAAAGGGAAGTAACATTGAGTGTCTCGTGTGCCTGGCACTCCATATGATGCTTCAATGCACACCAGGCTATTCAGCCTCAGATTTGTTTCTACATTGCTTCTAGTTCTACAGATTATTCAACGAATGTACAATCCTTGGTCACTAGTCTTAATAGGGAAAACAGAATTATGGTTAAAACAAAAGAGTAAGTAACTTAAATATGATCTATCGGTATTTATTTTGTATTATGATATTTTGCTTAAGTTGAAAAAAGGGCGCATCAGGTGTTTTGGCAGTTTACTGTGATCTCAATAGTGAGAATGTATTGAAAAATCTCAGTACAGGAGAAAGCTGTGCAGCTTTCTCTTCCTGTCGCTGCTTAATTTTCATGTAGATATAAAGCCGCAGTTTAAGCACATCTGCTTAATCCTTATTTAAAAGACTAGGAGAGAACTAGAAAGGGAGGGAGGGAGAGGAGGGGAAGGGGGAAGAGATTGAGAGAAATCTCTCCCATATAACACAAACACTGTATTAGTGTGTGAGAAGCAGATAATCGTGCATGTAGGCACTATCATTTGTGAAATCAGAAAGCATAATTTACTCCCAATGCTGAATAATCTAGTTGTGTGTAAGCACCAGAGAGATATTTAAATACCTATCCAATAAAAGATAATAAAAGCCTAGCAAACCTAAGTAATCCATTTTCAGATGTTAATCCAATTACGTAAACAAATATTACCCTTTTTTTTTTTTGGTCATTGTTTCAAGGATAAAGTGTAAATGAAAGAAATAGCATTCCATCTAGGTAAAAGAGGAATCAGCATCATTGAAATGTGAATAGCTGTGATTCCTCCTTGCTGAATGGTAACTTTAGAAGAGAGGGAACCCAGGAGTCCATCCAGAGGCTCAAGGAATAAGAGGTTCTCACCCATAGGAAGATGAAAAATACTTTCAGGGTGACCCATGAGGGAAAATCACCAAAGCCTTTGAAATAAAAGATTTTCCCTTTTCTAAGAATAAAAGATGGTGTTATGTCAAGGGCGGCTCGATGGTGTGGATGAAAGAACTATTGGGAATGGCTACTGAAAGATCAAAGGCAAGTGGAACCTCAAAATTCTGGAAGTAGAACGAGTCAGATACAATATAAGAAGTACTTCAAAGGCAAGAAAATAAGAATAATAAAAATACCTTTAGTTGTCAAATGTAAAATTTGTGCCAGTTTTGTCACATTCCATTTTTCAGGAACACTGTAAAGGTATTTTCTATTAATATCAATTTAACTGTACATATCTTCCCATCTATCTTAATTAGTCACTTTTCAAGAACAAATGTGTTATGCTCAAAGCATCCAAAGGACTTTTTTGTTAGCCTTAATAAAATGCTTTCTCTTAAACTAAATTTTAATTTAGTTTACATGTCTACGTATAAGGTGGTTATAGAAAATGAATGTAAAATCACTTCATTAAGTGTAACAAAACAAAATAATATGAGGAATTGTTATACTGTTTAAGCATTTGAAAAACGATAAAGGAGTATAGAAATTTTGTTACCACTACTATGATTAGTTTCTCATTTGGTTTTTCACTTTAAGAATTGGAATAAAAGTTGAAATCTTGATTAAAAAAACAAGAAATGATTCACAAATTATTTTACAAATTGAAATACTGAAATACAGAATGTTCAACCACTGTCAACATGAACTCCTATTCTGTAATTAATCTATTCTATAAACATCTGTATTTGCTAAAGAGCAACAGATCAAGGAAAAGAAAAAATAATCCTTGCCATCCATAGAGCCATGATTTTTGTGGAATCTTCGCTCCAGTTTAAGTTTTGTCAGTGTCTGGAAGAAAATACTTCCCATGGATCATCTTTTTGCTAAAGAGTATTCTTTACATTTTAAAACATATGAATATTTACATAAAGGTGTTTGTGGAAAAGGAAATTATGTGCCTTTTATTTTAATTCACCCATTATTCTATTCCACATGTAAAGTAGAAAATACTACTTTAAGACAAAAGTAAAGCATTATTTATTTAAAGATCTATTTTGTCCATGAATTTTATCAGAGGTAACGCTTCTTAATGTTATTCAGTGCCATAACTTGCCTTTTTTCTAGGCCTCCATTTTATGAACTGAACATCTGGATTTGATGGCAAGAAAACATTTCCTTCCGCTGGCTTTTCTAATAACTCCCTCTTACAGATATGCATGCCTCATGTTTGTTAATAAAATTGACGTGATTTTAATATCTGGTATTTTAACACACTGTGAATTATGGAATTTTCAGTGGCTTTATTTAATTAAATGCATTTTAAAATCCTTACAAAAAAATATTAAGAGTAACTCTAAAATGTATTAGAGCCACAGATGTTTTCCTTTATAGTGTTAATTGATTTAAGGTCCATCAAAATGCTGTTAAAATGTCTAGAGGTTAACAATAACAGTGGCACATGGGTCAGATTAAAATTCTTTTTGAGTAAAATAAATAAATAAATGACAGCTTATTTTCTTCTGATTTAAAAAAATTAGCTAGTGGATTGAAACAACAATGTGATAGCTAAGATTTCATTCTCTCACTTTATAATGAAAGGAGATTTAAAATTAGGGATTATATGGTACACGAAAAATTTATATACACAGATTACAAGTACTAGTTTTTTTAGTGAAGAAAAGACAACTATATATTTTCTCTTTTTATCTGTTGTCCTATTTTACAATTGTAGCAATTAATCTGCCAAACTCTTTAATCAATAAAATATGGTATTTAACAACCAAATTTGGCCCCTCCCTCCCCTTAAATATATTTCCAATGCTCCTTGCTCCATTTTAAACCTGCTGTCCTTTATAAGAGAATAATATATTTTGTAATTTGAGAAAATCATGCAAAGGAAAGTTTCTCAAAATTCACATTAATATGTAATAATAGTAATAAATATGTATAACCATAATATCTTAGAATTTTACAATATTTTATAGAAAACATGAATATTAAAGTGAAAATTTAAACACATCAATTTTTCATGTTAAAATTACTAAGAATGAACTACAGATTCATGAATACTAAGGGCAACTTTTATCTCAGGAAATATATCAGTGGACTGAAAATGTCAAATCAATTCAATTAAATCAGTAATAACACTTTGCTGTTTATGTGGCTGTTTTTTCTTCTATTTTTATTGTCTTAGATTGCATGGATACAATCAAAATAAGTTAATTTGTATACAGGATATAAATGGACCAGAGAATGTGTCTTCTATTAAATAATAACAAATAAGAATACCTTTTATTTTGTGATGGTCTTTACTATTTACTGAGAGACAAGTATTGTTCAAGTTGCCGGTTTTTTTTAATTAGCTGACATATTTCCTGCTTTTATTTGAGTTAGAATTCCTGTACCAAACATTTTAAAAAGAGAAAAAAAATTAAAGAAAGAGAAAAGGAATTTGGAAACTACTATAATGTAAAGTAGCATTATTTATACAACAATTAATTTTAGAGAAGCAAGAGACCTTAGAAATAATCTATTTCAACGCATCTATTTTACAAAAAAGAAAATTGAAACTCATAGATATTTAGTGACTTGTCCTTTGTTACACCAAAAATGAGGGAACTTGGTCTAGAATTCCTCCAGCATATTATGAGGTATTTGTTCTGTGGCCTGATACAATGAAATGAATGTTGGATTAGGCATTTTGGGACAAGTTTTGAATCCTAACTCTATTACTAATTCCTCTTCACTAGACTGAGATTCTGGTATGTGGTATTCAATAAGTGACTTGACTTCTTTAAGCCTGGTTTCTTTTTCAGTGAGATTTACAGCTTAGACTAGTTTCTGAATCTTGACCCTGTGGACAATCTAGTTGGAGAACTGAGATGACCTGGGCATTGTAGGATGTTTAGCAACATTCCTGCCTCTGTAAACTAGACACAGCAGCACATTTACCCAACCTGCTCTGACTGTGACAACCAGAAATGTCTCCAGGCATTGCCAAATGTCAACTGAGGGCAAAATTGCCTACCCTAGCCACCTTAACTGAAAACTACAAACTTCATTGAAATAATTTCTTTATGGCTCCCAGCAGTAACACTGTGCTATTCTAGACCAGTTGGTTAAACTACTGGATGCTTCATCAGAAAGCACCCACTAAGCATCACTCACCATGAAGTTCGTTGGGTACTCTATACAATGAACAAAGGAGATATCACATAATTTTTAAAAAACTTAAAAGATTCACAGGTGAGAATTTTGTAGTAACAATTAAGTATTAACTATTAGAAAAATTTAAGAAGTTTTAACAAAATGATATAAAAATATATTCACTATAAGTAGGATGTAATTTTTGTCCTGTAAGAGTTATCCATGTATTTACGAATTGTACCTACCAGAGGTTACAAAAATTTGGTCATTATTTGAAAGATTAACAGGGACTTATTTCCAATCATAGATGTTCACTATACTATTCTAAGACATTTGCAACTGTGTAAGGCAGTCATTTCCAGTAAGAATTGCTAGAACAAACATTAAGCATTTCACAGTGAAAAGGGTCATAGGTATATTTTCATCCTTTGCATATAGAAGAAATAGCAATCTATTATTCTCAGTTTTTGACTTAAAAGGTATTGTTGCTTCCCTTTCTTTCCCTCCCCTACTCAAGTTTTTGCCCATGGATCCAGATACCTACAAGGGCCTAATACAGGGAAAGTGCACTGTGTATGAGCTATGAAGGCACAATGGAAGCTTGCCTGGCAATCAGTGCCAGAACAGACAGCTAGTCTGATGAATTCTGCTACACATCACAGGGCTACTAGTTTTTTGTTTTTTGTTTTTTTTTTTTTTGTCATACATTACTGCAAGTTCCCTGAGGAAGTTTACTGATCTGTAGTTTTACGAGAAATGCACGTCATGGAGGTGGCGTGGGGGAGCGGGTGAACAAGGAAACTTTAGTTGCTATAAAACAGGAGCTGAGAGCTCAAGCAGGTTGGTTATGTTCTGCCAGATGGAGATAAAACTGTGGCAGCCACATCCTGTGACTAGAAATTGTTTAAGTAGGCAGACCTGTTGGAGGACTAAAGAACATTAGGCAAGGAGATTAAATTAGTGTAGGAAAAAAAATCAGTTTTGTTTAAAACGAAATATCTACTTGTGTTAATAGAACATTCTAACTCCACCATAGGATGGAATCAAGAGGTTTTTTTTTTAATACATATAGTGTATATATATAAATATATATATACACACACACACACTGTATGTATTCCTATGTAGATTAAATATTTTGATTTACCTCTTTCTAGTAAAGCAAAGTTCATTCTGAAATCCAAAATATTCACTTACTAGAGCAGAAAAAAATTAGCTGTGCATTTATGCTGATCACAGTGTAGATAATTAATCTTTAAGAAAGTAGGTTTTTATGTTTATAGTTGATAAAGTGTTAGTGGCAAGAACTTTTTCTGTTATTGAATATTATCATCAGATTACTCGTGCTTTCCATTTTATTCCTTTAAAAAAATCCAACTTTTGTAAGCCACCACTATTTTCTGAAGATTTTATTTCTCTCTAAGCTAAGAAAGGATGTCAAGAATAAACCATTTTCTCCTTTTAAATAAAAATGCATTCACTATAGATATTCATTTGAAATCTCAAACATACCTGAATTAAGTATACTCAGTTTTGTGAGTGAAAATTAATTATTATTTAAAACAAAACAAAACAAAAAAAATGTTCAGTGTTTTCATTTTACTTCTCTTGCTGCTTTTGGGCTCTGACTGGGCCCGGAAGCAGAAGTTGCAAAACATTATGAGAAAACTTTTGCTCTTTTCTTTTTTTTCTTCAATCTCCACCCATATGGAAATACCAGAAATCTGAAACCCCATTCTTGCTAAATATTCTTCTCAGGATTGTATCTCTACTGCAGGTCTTCTATGACGTTTTACAGCTGGCCTCTTTCCATTCAGAATTGCTGTTCATCTTTGAATGTCTCTGCTTTACTCCTGAATGAACACAAACACATTTTTTTTAGGTTTCTTGTTGACATTGGCTTTCTTTATAGCCCATAAAAAATGCATTTGTGGCATCTCTTCCACAGACAAAAATAGTATAATTATGATTCAATACTCGATGAATGTGTGTTAAACTAAACTGTGCCCAAGCTCTGTGCAACAGTACAGGTTTTTCACCTTTCCAGGGGAGAGATGTGGAGCACATATACATTTCAGCCATCCTACATGCCCACAGGGACATCTTTCTGGTCTGTCTCATTGGAATACCCTTCCTTATTTGGTTTTTAGTTTCTTTCTGCTTTAAGCACCTTTCAGAGAGAGAGAGATGTTTTCCTTTGTCTTTGTATAGGCAGTGCCTATCGTTACAGAGTAGCCTTTAAATACATATTTGTTGAATTAATAATGATACACATGAACTGATGAGGCTCTATAATTCTATGAGATAATCTGGTATCGTGGGAATATTTTAGCATGTTTTGTATAGATAGACTGACACTATGACTGGTAATCTGATAGTAAAAATGGCAAAATATTGAGCCTGAGTATTATTTTATTATGTTGCTTTCTTATACAAGGAGGGAATAAAATAAAGTGATGTGGACTGTAATTGTGCTCATGAAAGACACAATGTATACATACCTCCTTGAGACGGAATGATAAGGATAACGTAGAATGTTTACCATGATTTATCAGTCTCTCCTATATAAGAAAAATATTTCTTGTCCTGAAGTGGTAACTTTGGTGAAGTCTTTTGCTTGCTCTTTTACAGACTAATTAACAAGTTTTCTATGCCGGCTCTGTCCTTTCCTCTCCTCTCACCCCTGAAAAGTGGTTAAAAGTTTGGCATTTGTTACCCAGAATACTAAATGTAACACATATGTGGCAAGATTTGATGGAATTGCACTTCTGTTCTTATTATGTTCCTTTCTGGAAAATTATGACAATTTGTGTCCCCTTAGAGAGTGTAGCACAGTTTTCTGGTTGCTCCTCATGATAATCCAAAAAAAAAAATCCAGCTAACCCTTACCTTTTAGAGTAAGAATCTTTAGAAGAAAGAGTGCTTTCATCAAATCATTTGAGAACGTTAAGTTGAATAACTGATACGGTACTACCCTACAGACATGCGCAGGAAGTATCTGCATTTCTGTGGCGTTCTGCTAAGGAAAAGAATTTTCTTTCCAGACAAGATTTTTCAAAATCATATTTTAAAAATATCTTAATGATGAATTTGAAGTTGAGAACCAACTTATTTCAAGTAAAATTAAAATTTTGAGAGATAAGAGAATATACTTTTTTTAAGGTTAGAACTCAGAGGCCATTATGACAATTAATGGGCTAGTGGAGACACCTGGTCTCTAAGAAGGAGACACCAGCTTCTTCATGTTTTGATTTCTGCCTTGTTCTCTTGTCTGTCACCACTAGACACATACTATTTTATAGTAATTACTTGCATATTTTGTAGAAAAGGCAGCTGTGTTTTCTACAAATATTTCACAAATGTTAGTATTGCTCTATGCCAAGGAACAGAAGACAAATTTGTGGAAAAGATACATGTGGCCCCTCCCCAGGTGGGATTTCTTGTGTAGGCCCCATGCAGTGGAGGGACAGAGGGGGCCAGTGCTCATTTTGAGGACACGATAGTTCGGACTGTCTGAGGAAATCGACAGTGTGTGTTTAATGACCAAACCAACATGGCTTTGAAGAATACATATATATTTTTTTTTTTGCTTTTTTTTTTTCATTGCCCAGGCTGGAGTTCAATGGCATGATCTCAGCTCACTGCAACCTACGCTTCCCAGGTTCAAAGAATTCTCCTGCCTCGGACTTCTGAGTAGCTGGGATTACAGGCATGCACCACCATGCCTTGCTAATTTTGTATTTTTAGTAGAGACAGGGATTTTCTATGTTGTTCAGGCTGGTCTCGAGCTCCCAACCTCAGGACCTCAGGTGATCTGCCCGCCTTGGCCTCCCAAAGTATTGGGATTACAGGCGTGAGCCACTGTGCCTGACCAAGAATATTTTTCTTAATTTTTCTGTAAAACTAGTTGTTTTAGTTTTCAAAGAAAGATATTTTGGTAGTTTTTCTTTAAAATGCATATCATCATACAGAAATCATTGTCCACGTATATGGACATATATATCTATATAAATAGATTATATCTATATAAATATATAGATATATTTGTCCATATATATGTCCATATATATATATATATATATATATATATATATATATATGATCTTTTTTTTGATATAGTGTCCTAGACCTGGAATTCCTGTGTTAAAAAATGAAAACATTTTCAGTCTCTTCATATATATTGACAAATGGCTTTCAGAAAAGTTGTTTCCTCTATTCTCTTCCTAACATTGTATGAGTTTCCTTTCACATACTTTTGTCAGAGTTTAATTTTATCATTTTCAAAAGTGTTACTTTTATAAAAACTGGTATTTCTTCAATTTACCATTTTGTGATTAATTTAATTTTTACTGTGTTCAGGGTTTTATCATATGCTTATTATTTACATTTCCTTTGTGAATTGTGTTCCTATGATTTGCACATTTATCTTTTGTGCAGCTGTGTTTAAATTTTGAATATAAAGTTATATGAAAGAGGAAATATGTAATTTACATAAACACACCCAAATATATGTGTGTGTGTGTGTGTGTGTGTGGTGTGTGTGTGTATTCTGTGTTGAAATAAATGGTAGAACCAGGACAACAGGTAGAGGTTATGAGGTTGTCATCTGTGACACAGTCTAGAGGAGAAACTGTGTGGGCATCTATCAACTTACCTTTTTGAAAGAATCTTAACTATTAGTTTCTGGAATATTCAGAGAAGACTTGTAAGGCCAACATGGACTCTAGTTTCCATCCTCCTGAGAAGACATTCCATTATGAAATCTAAGTAACTTTGACAGCAAACCCTTCAGTCTTATCATTTTCATTAGATAATCTACCACCAACACAATGATCCAAAAATGCATTATATTCTTGCACTGGAGTTCTTCACTTTTTGCTTCACCCCAAAACTGCCGCTCCTAACCACATGCTTAGCTGCTAACTTTCACACCAGGCTTATGAGAACAGTATTTTCAGTAAGCTCTCTTTTCAATTCCTTTCACAATGGAGCTGCAGAATCTTTGAGTTGAAAGAAGCCTTAGAGGTGACTAGGATCAATGTATATATATCCCTCTTACCACACACACTCACTGAATATTTTCTAAAAACTACATTAAGAAAAAAAGAAAAGCCTAATTTAGTGCTGAACTGCTGAAATATTTTGAAATTTGTGGTTTCAAAATCTTAACACTGTTAATTGAAACCAATGTTTCTCATGCCTTTTAGTCTCTGGACTCCTTTTTAAACATTCTTAAACATAAACCTAATTTTTAGCATAATTGTGGAATATAAAGAGGTTTTGTCTATGTGGGTTATATATATTTATTGTAAAATAAACTAGATAGAATTTTAAAATATTTAATTATTTATTAAATAATAATAAATCAATATATTAATATAAATAGCACATATTGTATGAAAAACAACCAGATATTATAAAACAAAGATTTAATAGGAATAGTGTCACTTTTTTGCATTTTTACAAATCTTTTAAATGTCTGTCTGAATAATAGATAGCTGGATTCTCATATATGCTTTAATATTCTCTATCTGTTGTAATATTATATACCATATAGTTTCTGGAAACATTAATTTTCTACTAATGAGAGAATGAGAGAGAAGAAGAAAAATAACTTCTTAGTACTGTTAGGTAAATAATAATACTCATAACACTTAATTAATATTATTTTGACCTTGAAGAATCTTTAAAAGGTTCTTGGGGACTATCTTGAGTCTCCAGAAAACACTGAGAACCACTGATACGCCAACAAGATAAAATTCTTATCCTTACCGCAGCATGGAATAGGACCATACTTTCTTCCTTATAATAATACTTCAAGTATTTGAATGTATTTATTGTATTTTCATCTATACTATTATTTTTTAGGACAAAATAGACTTCTTTAAGTTTTCCGTATTTGACACATTATCTTGCTCCCTTCCCCACTACCTACCTCCGGTTAGCCTCCTCTGAATACTCTTGGATTTCAATTTCATTTATAATGTGTGATATTCTGGACTGGACACAGCACTTCAGGGACCTGGTATCTTGAATCAACAAAGACTTGTCTTCCAAACGATGGTGATTAAGAAGCCACCATGTCCAACTGGTCAGCCAGTTTTTATATTGTACAAATCAGCAATCTCAGAGTCAACCTAACCAGATTTAGGCAAGGCACTTCCATGATGTATTGATGTATTGGCTATTTTATTAATAGTAATATCAATAAAAATAATCATTAAGATAACTGATAATATTCAGGACTTCATATGTGCTAGATGCTATGTTTAATGCATACATTTATTCACTCTTCTAATTCTTAACAACTTTATAATGTATATGTATTTCTTATTCTTATTTTATAGATAAAGAATCTGAGGCATGGAAAATGTAGGCAATTTATTTGAGATTACAGAGCTAATAAGAGGCAGAGCCAATGTTTGATCTGAACAACTTGATTCTAGGATCATTTTGGCTGGGAATTTTCTGAGAGCTGTGTGTGTGTGTGTGTGTGTGTGTGTGTGTGTGAGAGTGTGTGTGTATAAACATGAGACCATATTAGTATATACACAAATGTCAATATATATTTTAAACTGGAATGTTTTAATAGAGTGGCTTATATGATAGAAATAAGAGAAATAGAGGAGGATGGAAAGGGACAAAAAAAGGGAAAAGTAATTAGGAATATTGAAAAACCTAAAATGTAGTTCTCTCCATATTCTGGATACTCCTGCCTTTTTCTTCCACTTTCCACACATTGACCAGTATTCCTTTCTCCTTTCCTAAAATAGTTTTACAGATACTATAGATACCCTTAGCTATTTGACAGTTATGTTTCTGTTCTTTTAACATGTCTGCTTCTATAACTGTCACACTTAAATGTTTTCATAGGAATCATGAAAACTATAGTTTTTCCTCCAACGTAAGGATCTCATATCACGCTTTCATTCTGAACTAACCATTCCCTCTCTGCAGTTGATGTAACTGTGCCATGTGACCATTGTACACATGTGGGAGGGAGGAGCTGAATTACGCCTGACCCCTGGCCAGAGCAAGAGCTACTGGCCAAAGGGGAGATTGAGCATCTGTGTTGTACTTCCCACGTCTCTTCACCTAGGAAGTGCAATAGATTTCTGACGAGTCTATGATTACCCACTGATGAATAAAGACAATCTCCCTGCACAATTGCACTGCAGGCAAGACTGAACTTATGACCACCACTTCTGTGTAATTTTGAATTTCTTAGACCTGAACCCTGCTGAGTACACCTGCTTCCCTCTATTCCTTGCTGAAGTTCATTCTTTTCAGTGCGTTAATGGAGCCAAACCAAGCTGGTGGTGGTAACAATTTGAATAATAATAGTCTTTAACTTTTTATCTTTTGAAAAATAGAATTCTCAGGAGCACTTTTAGCTATAAGATTCCTTCATCCAATTAAATAAGCTTTAAGCTTCATGAAAAGTGTAAAAGGGCACAGGTGCATTTGTGGAAATAGAAGGAAGCAATCTTGAGCCTGAATACATTGAGGTACTGGCAAGCTTCTGGAAGTAGTTGAAGAAGACTTCAGTTAGAAGCTTGGTCAAATGGACAAAGCCCTGACCTGGACATTGGAGACCTGTAGCCACCTTCTGAATCCACAGCTGACCTAGTGGCCTTGATATATAATATTGATTGCAGGATAGTTTTGTGATGGTTAAGATTGCAGGCTTTAATAACTAGATTTCTTGGATTTAAATCCCAACTCTGCCACTTACTGCTTTTCTCTGGGAAGAGTGATTAACCGCTTTGTGCCTCAGTTTCCTTATCTTTAAATGAAAATAATTTGAGTGCATACCTCACAGGTACTAAAGAATAAATGATTGGAAAATAAACATTATTGAATATATGTTAGTAATTATTATTTTCATTGTTATGCTATTATTATTTTTATTATTAATGTATGACATCATGTTACCTGCCTAACAACAGAGTATTGAGACAAAAGCAAAATATTTTTTCTATATTAATAATCATAATAAACACCACTAATGTTTCCAAACTATACTTTTTTTTAACCCTACATGCCTTTAGTTCATGGAAAGAAAAGTATGTTAAAGATGCTATGGGGGTGAAGAGAATGATAAATATTATTATTTAAGACAATGTTTGCTATAATTTTTATATATCAAATAAGTTTATATGTTCTCAGAAAATTGGTCTTTGAATAATTGAGGACAGTGTGGGTTTTTATTCTGTTTCTGGAAGGCGGTGCCTGTGGCTGTGAGAAATAAGGAACAGACCATCTTCCCACATTTGAGAGGGAACTATACAAAAATGGGAAAATATTTGTTTTAAATATCTTTTGGATGTGAATTTTGTCATAATTGCAAACTGTTTTGGCAGCAAAACGAATTATTTCGGTAGCAAGAAGAGACTTAACGATGCTATGTGGGAGAAAAACTAAGTCCCTACTATCTTTCTGAGAGCACGTCTCAGAGGACATGATGTGATCCTGTAAGTTTGTAGCAATCTTATTGTGCCCCAGTGCAGACACTCCTTCCTACTTCCCTGTAGAAAACAGAACTGTTTTTTTAAAATTCTTTCTCAACTACCATTTTTAATAGTCATGTTACTTGATGACAAAATCTGATACAGTGGCCTTTAATACTATATAGTGAATGATTTTTGAAAATTTGGAAAACTCTAACCGAAATATACCAGGAACTGCTCTCCTCTTCATCTCAGATGTCTACTTCCTCTTCAGACCTGTGTGTGAAGCTCTAGAATAGGCTGTTTGGGAAGACTACAAAATCTCCTCTCCGAGGTCCCTTATAACCCTGATAGTTGCTAGATTTGAAATCAAGGATTTATTCTCCCCCTGCCCTGAGCCTCTCCCTTATGTCCACATAGGCTCTAGCATTGGAAGAAATATTTTAAGATCTCTTTCTTTTTGACTTTGTGATACTCCCATATTAAAAATGGCTTATGACAGGAAAAGGACAAATATGCTATATTTTTTCCCTTAAGGCTAATGTTCTCGGGACTACCATGAAAAATCCAGGTATCCTAATCTGGAGGGTTACCCTTTGGATCTGAATGGGATTGGAGTCAGTACAAGGGGTGGGGAGTGTTTTTAGAACATCCCGGCAGCATTTTTTTTTTTTTTTTTTTTTTTTTTTGAGACGGAGTCTCGCTCTGTCGCCCAGGCTGGAGTGCAGTGGTGCAATCGCGGCTCACTGCAAGCTCCGCCTCCCGGGTTCACGCCATTCTCCTGCCTCAGCCTCCCGAGTAGGGGGGACTACAGGCGCCCGCCGCCACGCCTGGCTAATTTTTCTTTTTTTTTTTTTGTATTCTTAGTAGAGACGGGGTTTCACCGCCCTGCTGCCTTTTAAAGCAATTTAATACATGAGTTAAATATCATATTTTAAAAATAGATTTTATTTTTTATTATAATTTTGATGAATGCATTTTTGTCAAAGTTGTCAAAGTCAAGAAGTCATTATTGAGACCCTGAGGGTAAGGCAGGAGCCAAGTGAGAACAAGCAGATGTCAAAGATGGTGAAAAACTAGAACAGCCAGGTCCCCCAGGCATATACAGAGAAGTTTTGCAATGGCAGGTCCCCGTGGTTGTCTGACCCAGACTTCCACCTTGAGGTAACTGGGGTAACTATAACGATATTTTCATCCTGATCTCTTCATGCAGTTATATGTTTCCAAGAACAGATAAACTGTGAACTTAATACAAGTGTCTCCTTTCCTTGGATTCTCACCATCTGGGTGGTAAACATGACAGAAACATTCAAGTATGTTCAATGTAGTACATGGTAACAAATGCTTTAGCACAGACTAGGGAGCATGTCTGGCAACATGTTGGCAAATAATTAAATTGGCACATTCAGGATAAAATGAGAACATGGAAAAACAGAATATGATTCTCTTTCCAGCCCTGGAAAGACATCCCAAGTGTACGTATTGTTTATATTATGTTATTAGTATATCTTTACCAGCAAAGGGCAGGTCATCATCATTCAATATGCTCAAATACTCACATTTAAAGACATAGGCACTTTGAGAGGCCAAGGGGGGAGAATCACTTGAGCCTAAGAGTTCAAGACCGGCCTGGGCAACATGGCAAATCCCATCTCTACAAAAAATACAAAAATTAGCTGGGTATAGTGCCTGTGGTCCCAGCTACTTGAGAGGCTGAGGTGAAAAGATTGTTTGAGTCGAGGAAATGGATGCTGCAGTGAGCCATGGTCACACCACTGCACTCCAGCATTCTAGCCTGGGCAACAGAGCAAGACCCTGTCTCAAAAAAAAAAAAAAAAAAAAGAGAGATGTAGGGAGCATTGTGGACATCTATTCATGGAGGGTTAAACAATAGAATTAGACAACCATGTGTATGTGTGGAATCATGTGTTTTTTCCACACATGTAGGAAGGAGAAGGTAGGAACAATGAAAAGATTCTTTTAGTGATCATAGTGGCTCCAAAACAGATGCTTTGGTATATGTAATACCCATTTATCTTATAAAGAAAATAAAGAAATAATAAAAGCATTTGCTAACCATGTTAGATGCTATAGTAAATGTAAAAATAAAGGGTCTGTTAATCTATTAACTGAGCTTAATATATGATGTGATATAACAGCAGCCTTCAAATATGCGGAGGGCTATAACAGAGATCATGATGAACAGACTTTTATTCTGGCTTAGAAAGACTAGACACAGAAATTAAAGGCATAAATTACTCTACAAGCAAAGCAATCTTAACATAACACTCCTTTCAAGGTAGACTATGAATATTTCCACCAATAATATATTTATTAAAATAGATTCCTTTTCATTTGTCTTTTTAAGTTAAACATAATCTTGCTTGAATGAGGATGAGTATAAGATACCTCAGTCATGACCTTGTAGATCACTGCATCAGCCAGCTTTGTATTCAGCTATCAAACAAAATAAAATGTGATCACTAGTGGTTCAAATACATTGGAGTTCTACAACTAAAGATCTAAAGGAATGAAATCCATGACTAGTACAAAGACATAATAATGCCCTAAGCAACTTACGATATTTTGATGTTTCTTTTCTGACACCCCATTCGATAGGCTTTTGTCTTCATGCTCAGCATCTCCTATCTCATTTGGGATGCTATGCGTCCACACCTTTCATCACATTCCAGCAAAAAGAAAGGGAAGGCAAAGTGGTAATATATTTTTCCTAGTGAGGTTTTGCCTCTTTATTCAGGGATGGAAACCTTCCCCAGAAGCTTTTGTCTACACTTATTGGCCAGAAATTTAACATATAACCATTCATTGCTGTCAGAGGTGGGAAGGAGTCCCTGAGAAAGAAATTATTCTTGTTTTCCAGCCTCTATTGTAGCATTTAACAAGGAAGAATGGGATTATGAATAGCTTTGGAATGTTTATCATGTCTTCTAGTTGCCATAGCTCATAGTCATTTTATATGATTGAATCTATATTAGGCCTTTTATCTGACAAGTTTCCCAATGTACAAAGACTGAAAAAAAATAATTTTCCTCAGATGGGAATAAAGAATGTCAACTGGTCTGGCCAAGTGAGTTTGGAAAGCTAAGATTTAGCCTTGGGTGCATTATTGATGGACAATAAAGGAGTAGGTGGCACTCATCCATTCATTCAGTTATTCTAGCTGTGCTATTGAATACTTGCTAACTGCAAAGCACAGAGCTAGATCCTAGTAAGAATATAGAAAAGAAAGTCACAGTCTCTGCCTTGAAAACATATTTATTTTATTTCTAGGACAAGACATCTACACATATACAAACTGTCAATTCATAACATGTCATGGAAACATAAAAGAAGGTATCAGTGAAAGTGGAGTGTTTAAGGAAATTTCCATGCAGTTGATAGAATTTTAATCCTATAATTTCAATAGGTAGTAGCTGTGTCTCAGGCATTCTAGGCAGTGCACAGCAAGAGAAAAGATTGAGATAAAGATAAAAACTGGAAAGAAGTAGGCAATCAGTCATATTTCTGCAAAGCAATGTTAGAAAATTGCATGTGTTAGCTTGTATACACAACTTAGCTTACAATGTTAGCTTGTAGCTAACTGAATACAGATGTGAGAGTTAAAATATACTCTCCTAACAGTAGAATAATGATTGTTAGAGTGGCAGGGATGATCTTATAGAAATAAACATTGGACAACCAGCAAAAACAGTGAAAGCCAGCCATATGGCTATCTGGAGGAAGAGCATTCCAGCTACTCAAATCCAAAGTGGTATCATGGTGTGATGTCTTTTTTTTTATTTTTGTTTTAGAGACAGGGTCTCACTATATTCCCCAGGCTGGTTTCAAACTCCTGAGCTCCTGTGATTCTCCTGCCTCAGCCTCCTGAGTATAGTCACATGCCACCATGCCCAGCTAAGTTATATATAAACATAAGCACAGAGTAACATGGTAGCAAAAAATAATGTCACCCAAATTAGGGTTTTGAAGACAATACAGGAGTTAGATAGATAAAGAAGAGAGGGAAGGGCATAACACAAAGGAACAGGAAGTATTAAAATGTGCGTGTTATGGACTTGCATACAAATTGAGTGCTTTAATTTTGCCAAGCATCTTTCATAACACTATAAGGAATTAACAGTATGAGATAGCATAAGTAAGGGGGCCTGAGAACTTACATAAACACCCTTGGTACATGGAAAGTAAATATAAAATGGTGCTGATAATTCTAATTACATAGTTTATAGAAAAGATACATGACCAAGCTTGAAGCAAGAATGATTGATAAGGAATTAGGTAGGTTCTGTATAAGGAAAGGTGATTTCAGATCCCAAAAGGGCATGGCTGAATGTTTAGCCTTTCAGAGTTGGGGAATCCATTTCTTCCTGTGGAAGGATTAGTCTTTAGGTGAATAGATATGTATCGAAGGGAAATTAAGAGAGCATAAGAAAACCCCACTTTACCTGCCATCTATCCATGGAAGCAGCAATAAGACCACCTGAGAGCTATGGTACAATTAAATTGAAGATATTTGAACACATAAAGTAGGTGTAATGTAACATATAGGCTCAAACATTTGAAAGTGATGATATTTGGTCATTGCTGGCCTACAAAAGAAATGATTTTATGTGATTCAGTCTAATGGTAATAGTTACAAAGGATTGACTTCTTCGCAAATAAAATGGTTGAAATAGTACCCAAAACTAGCAGATTGGGCAAAAATTACAAAGAAATATCTAAGTGGTTGCATAGTAACCACAAAAATGAACACACTTATTTTCAGAGTTCAAACCGTGGTAGATTTGAGAGTATGTTTGGAAATGACTAATGCTTAGTGTTGTTTACCCTGTCACCACATTCCTGCATAAGGCTCTTTATCTCTGACTGGTCATGCTCACATCTGTTTTCTGCCAGCCTTTTCTGGTGCCCGCAGGCACCCACCTGCACCCAATGTCCTCCTTTTATGCTTTCTGGCCTCCTTTCATGTACTGTGTGGTCCACCATACTACCTAATCTGCTATATACTCACAAAACTATTTACTTCTTTTGAAAAAAATGTATTATTAGATTTAAATATATGTATTTATATTTCCCTTCACTTTTTAAAGTTTTCACTTTATTTTTATACTATGTTTTAAGCTTCCCTAATATCCCACTGCTGAATCCCACCGACATGGAATCCACGGCATGGTGAATCCCTGACTTACCCATTCCTACTAGAAGTAGAGCCAGAATCTAATCCAGACCTCCTGCCAGCCACTCCCAGACCCCTTCTTTCCCCCAAAGAAAATGAAGAACATATTTTTTGTGCAAAGAGATACAATCAGGAAATTTTTTTAAAATCAGCTTTTATTTTAACTGAATAGCTTACTTAGTCCTGGGGCTGTAAAGTCAACTGAATGATGGAGTCATTTTTTTCAAAATGCGACATCTTCTTACCCACTTCTCTTATTACTCTCATCATTATGAAAATCACATTTGTGAAAGGAAATGAATTTATATCAGGTTTTCTTTGGCATCACCCAAAGGACCTTAGTAAAGAAAATTAATACTAATTTTATTTTCTATTGTGAGCACCTTAATACGGAACTGTAAGAATAATTACTATTTTTAATGCCAAATGAAGCATGTAAGTATTACTAGCTTCTTTTTTGTATTAACTTCTATACTTATCTCAGGAGTTTTTATAGTGATATAGACATTTTGTGAAATAGATCATGAGTGAAACATAGACCTGGTATAGCTTGACTGGGGCCTACTTTACAGATTTGTCCTTAAGTACTGAATATAAATGTTTCTGCTTCTTATTTTCCTTAGCATTTTTAAAGAAAGTCCTGGAAGCCAAAAATCTCCATGATGAAATATTTATAATTATTAATCACTGTTATATGACCTTATTATGTATGAAAACTATATTCAACATCCTAAATATGAAATGTGATTAGTTCTGATTTTAAAGATTTGTGATAAAACAAGACACCATTGATGAAATACATAGAAAAAGGAAGACAAAATAGCTTGGGACACATTAATAACTTACACAAAAAATTTTAAAAATTAAATCTTCTAATAGATTTGATATATAATATACCCCAGAAATATTTACATTATATTTTCAAAGTCTAGAGCATTTCTTCCATAGACTCCAAAACTATTTGTATATATTATCATCGAAACACAATTTTGAGAGAAGTTGGAATGGCAGTGCAGTTAGCAGATAAAAAAAATACCCACTTTTCTTTACAAGTCTCTATCTAATTCATACTCCCTATTGCTCTTTCCTGCTTCACAAACTTCTTAAAAGATTTTTTCATGTGGTGTGAATATTTAAAATCTGTCTTAGCAATTTTCAAATATACAATATAGCTGGCCATCTGTATTTGTGGGTTTTGCATCCTCTGATTCAGCCAACCATGGATTGAAAATATTAGGAAAAAATGACGAAATACAACAATACATCATAAAAATAATACAACTTAAAAGACAATACAGTATAACAACTATTTACATAGCATTTATTTTGCATTAAGTATTATAAGTAATCTAAAGATGATTTAAGGTATATGGGAAAATATACTTAGGTGATGTACAAAAACTTTAATCATTTCATAGTGTATACATATATCAAAATGTCACATTGTACCTTATAAATACTCATAATCATTTGTCAATTAAAAATAATTTAAATTTTTTGAAATGTAAAAAAAAAAAATTTTTCTAGCCTCCCAGTCTACACTCTCACTTTTCACTAACCCATTTACTGCTTTCTTGCTTGTTCTCCCAGCACACCACAAAAACAACTTCCATGCATACACCAGTATCACCCCCCTCACCCCCCTGTTTCCAATAAATTAAACCCAATGGACCAAGCTAAAGCATTTATTATACTTCACCTCTCAGAGGCATTTAACGCTATTGACAACTTCCTTCTTTTCAAAACCCTGTCCTCCCCTAATTTTCATGAAACATGAAACTACCTTCTAGTTCTCTTATTTATCTCAGCCATCTGGCTCCTCTTTCTCTATTCCCTTGTTACCTATTGGTGTTGGTATGTATTCCATTCTAGAACTTTGTCTCCTCTACTGTGATGCTATCATTTAGGGTGAAATCAACTACTCCCATTGCTTAATTTGTCTTTTATAAATTTGTGACTTCTACATCTATAGCTCCAGTTCTGCTGTCTTTTTTGTATTAAAGACCAATTTCTCCAACTATGCACTAGACACTTCCAACTAGTATCCCACTGGTATCTCAAATTCAACATTATTGAACTCAAAAACTTCTTTTGTTAACTTGCCTTGCTGTCATATTTCCTGTATTGGTGAATTATATCAGCTTCCATAGACTTGCCTGAGCCAATATAACCTAGGACATATTCTCCTTTTCCCTTAACTCAGCATTGACTGACAAAGAACATGCTAGGAAGTCTGTATTCTTCATGTCTTAAAATATTCACCTCTGCTTCCATTGCCACAGCTTTGATTTGGGCCACTCACATTTCTGCAGTAGTCTCTGAGATTGTTATCATCCATATCTCTGCATTTTTCTTGCTAATGAGACCTTCATTAAAATTATTTTGTAAGTATTTAATTATTTAGCAGTTCATGCCTTTCCATATGACTTAAAATTCCATTGGGTTTTGCTTTTTTCCTGTAACCTAAAGTTACATCTGGGTTGGTCAAAGTGAAGCATAGTAACTACATTCCCTTTGATAGTGCTGCAATTAAGACCAATGAAATGTGAAGGAGTTTTAGGGAAGCTTTTTCCTCAGTCTTAAAAAGAGACAAAAGGAAACAATACCCCTCTCCTGTCTCTGGTTCATATTTGATGAGAATGTGGCACCTAGTCTTTTTGAGACCAGTGGGGTAGTTAGGCCCACACCCTGTGGATGTCAGAGCAAAAATATGGAAGGAATCTGGGTCCTGATACCATCATCAAACCATTGAGCTAATTCCGTTTTGTAAGATAATAAATTCCTTACTGTTTACTCTGTTCGAGTTCCTTTTTTTTCTGTTAGTTGTAGCTGAAACCATTTTAACTGTTGTTTTTTGTTTGGTTTGGTTTTGTTTAATACGGAGTCTTGCTCTGTTGCCCAGGCTGGAGTGCAGAGGCGCCATCTGGGCTCCCTGCAACCTCCACCTCCAGGGTTCAAGCGACTCTCCTGTCTCAGTCTCCCAAGTAGCTGGGATTACAGGTGCACGCCACCATGCCCAGCTATTTTTTTTTTTTTTGTATTTTTTTGCATTTTTAGTAGAGATGGGGTTTCACCATGTTGGCCAGGCTAGTCTAGAATTCCTGATCTCTGGTGATCTACCAATCTTGGCTACCCAAAGTGCTGGGATTACAACCCACTGTGCCCAGCACCATTTTAACTGTATTCTAAAAGCATTTTACAGCCTGCTAATACATAACCTCATCTCCAACCTTGCTTCCTAAGTTCCACTCTGTGTTCCACAAATGGGATTAATCACCTACTGAAAGCTCTATAATAATTCCTGTCACCTGAGGATATTGTTAAAACTTCTCAGTTTGTAGAAGAGGGCCTTCATTATCAGCATCACATTTATTTTCCAGAAAGATATCTAGCACCCCTCTACCTTACATCTTGCTTTTCAGCCAGGAAGAACAACTTTTTCTTTCTGAAATGTACTAGAATCTCAGTGTTGGGCCACATTGCTTTTTTTTTTCTAAAAGACTAATCGTCTTCCTTTCCCACCTAACTCAAACATATCCCTCTTAACTTAGACATTACTTATTTTGGGGAAGTCTTCCATGATTACCCTAAGAATAGGGTAGGCATTCTTTCTCTCTGCTTCCATAGAAAGTAGGAAACTATTGCACTTACTCATTGTAATGTGGCTATATTTTGATCAAAATAATTAAAAAATACTGTGTGGATTCAAATTTTTCTCAGCTACTCACAAGCTGAATGATCTCACACAAGTTATTTATTGCACCTTATTGTGCTTTCTTTTTCTCTGAAATAGAGGTAATAATTATACATACTTCATATTATTACAATGATTCAGGAAGCTAATGTATATGGTATACTTACATATATATATGACCTAGTATAACGCATGATACATAATAAGTGCTGTGTACATGCTCAGTCAAATAATGGTCATTTGAAAACATTTATTGAGTAAATGAAGAGGAAAGTGTTTATTTTCAATACATTCAAAGATATTGTTTTGGTTATTTCCATTACAGAGGCATAATCAGTTTACTATTCAGAAAAATGCAAGAGTACATTTTTACTGCTCCTCCAGTGATACTATGGAAAACAATGTTTTAGAAAAATAAAGAAGGTGTGAATAATGATTAAAGAATCATACACTCTCAAAGTGAAACAATTTCCCAAGAAATGCGGTAGAATAAGCCTTTTGGTTTCTGATTTTTTTTCTTAACTTTGCTTGTATGTTGTAGAAAGCTAATCTAAATTTAAGAAATTGAAATTTTGAAGTATTAATAATGTACTTCTCTCCCAAAATTGTTTTAATGTAATGATTTTTGCCATATGGATGAATTATATATGCATCTAGAGGCTAAAAACCATAAAAACAAGCTTCTTCTTAGTAGACTTTTGTTGTTTATTTTGTACAGCATAAAGCAGCAGTCAAAAAGTTTTCCAAACAAATTATCTTATGTATTTTGACTAAACCCAGATTTATCTTCTTAAAATGAAGACCTTTGTTGTAGTTGCATTTGTTCCTCATATGCAGTAGAATGACCCAGCCTCTTTGGCTTAGAGGTAGTGCCTCCTTTTTACGACACTTGGAGCGGCATCTGATGCTCATCACTTCAGTTGGATAAGGAATGCTGTCCAGTCACAGAGACTCATGAGATCATGTCCAATGAAGGCATTTAACAATAAATTCACAACTAGTGAGTGAGAATTTTATAAAGCAGTTTCAAGTATTAAGTAGATAGGTAGGTAAGCTTTATTATATTTTTTAAATGTGAAATTTTACAATTGTGAAAATTTACAATTTTACAATTTTACAATGTCAGGATGGATAACATTGCCTTTTTAGTAATGGTAGCCTTCACTATCTGCATTATGACTGTACAATAATAACATATAATAATATATATAGCATATATATTTTATATATATAACATAATATATAACATATATAATAACATATAATTATAACATAATAACTGGGGCTATGATTGCAAACATTTATAAGATGTGGTATGAAAATGTCCCAATCACAAAAACACTCAATTTAAAAATGAAAGAAAATGAATCTATGCTATGCTTTGCTTCATCTTTCTCTGAACTAGTTACAAACAAACCTTTTAAAAATAAGCTTTCAATTTGGGAATAATTTTAGATTTACAGAAAAGTTGCAAAGATAGTAAGGAAAGTCCCCATTTGCTCTTCATTTGGCTTCCTCTAATATTAACATTTGCCAAGGTTACATTTGTTAAAACTAAGAAGTAACCATGGGTACAATGCTATTAACCAAATTACAGCTTTCATTTGAATTTTGCCCATTTTTCCAATATTGTTCTTTTCCTGCTACAGCATCCAATCTAGGACCTCATGTTGCATTTATTTCTTATGCATCTTTAGTCCCCTAGGATTTGTGACGGTTTTCTGTCTTTTTTCTTTTGAAGACTGTTCATTGCCTCTGTTAGTTTAATGATCCTCTGAGATGTTATTCACAGTAAAATAGCATGTGAATTTCACCTAACTAAAAAGTTTATTTGATCCAAAGCCCTGATTTTAAGAATTTGAAAGAAAAAAATGACTCTATTTTTCCCAGTTCTAAACATTTTACTAGAATAATAATTGTATTCTTTCAACATGGAATTAATGTTGATGAGAAGCAAACATCTAAATTTAAAAGAAAATATAGTTTGTTGAGGGAGGTAATAGACAATAAAATGTATTTATTATAGAAAAAATTCCCAAAACTTTCTCATTAAATGTGCTTTATCTTTACTTCATTACTAATATTTAGCTTTTATTCTTTTAAAAAGCATATGCCAATGATAATATCTCATTAATAATAAGAATCCATCTAATTTTAGCTTGATCTTCCCCCTGACTAGGTTTGATTGGATTAAATCATCATAAAGAGACAAAATAATGCAAAAAGTGATAAATCTATAAGCCTCCCCTAAGGTTTCCCATAGAATGATCAACCCAAATGTGCTCTTTATTTTATGCCATGAAATGACATACTGTGTCAAGAACTGAATTTCATCATACATGAGACGTAAGACTATTTTTATATCTCTGTAAATTGGGTATGAATTATAAAAGTATGCTGGTAAACTGATCACTTGAGAACATAAAGTCAACTTTCCCTGGAAGAGTTTCTCATTATAAAAGAAAGGCAAGCATCTTCTTCCTAATATCTAGCTTTATCAGGTCAGGGGCTATATTCTCGGAAGGGATAAGTAATTTCTGTTGTATCTACTAATTTCATTTAAAAAGATAACTAGAGAATATTGGAAGCATTATTGTAGAACTGTGTCAAAGACCGAAATATCATTCCTACCTTAGACTGTACCTCAAGATCGAAGCTCTGGATGCTATCTGGAATTAAAATGTTTGCATTAAGTTTAAAACTCAGTAAAATAAATGTTTGAAATGAAAACCAGACCAATAATGAATAATTTTACTTAGACCTACTCTCCAAATGTGCTAAAAGACTTGTAAAAGTTGTTGTTGTTTTAATAACTAAGTCAAGCCAGTTTTATTTAATTCAATACATGGAGTATTAATGCGCTGTATGAATGCCGAAGGTAGTATTGGACGCCACAATCTTTAGGAACCATGCTTCTGAGTTTTAAAATGGTGACTAGTTTAGCATAGATTCAACATAAGCATTAGGTGTTCTTTTGACATTTGGGAATCAGCCAATCAACAGGAGGAATAGTAAATTGAATACGAACTTGAAAGAGACCATGTCTTTTTTTCATCCAACTGTGAAAAACTTTCTTTGTACAATTGTTAAACTTAAGAAACAGATGGTAGATCTGTATCAGTCAGTGAGGGGTTTCTGAAGTACTTTTCTGGATGAATGCCAAGAAAATGGGTTTCTGAGACTTGCATGGCTCTGGATTTGTTCTGAGCTGTTTAGTGAAGTGAGGGCTGGCATTCAGAACCCAGGGGAGGGGGAGTAGTCATTCCCATTGCCTTGCATAGAGATAGAATCACAGGTGACAGGTCATTGGAAAATCACTTCTTGAGAGTGGGTATCTTTATTTTGAGTTGGTATCTTTTTGAGAGTTGGCCACTCATAAGCCTTGCTTTTGATAACATTTCTTTAAATTCCTCCAAGGAACAAGGGGAAGTGCAAAAGGAATACGATAAAGTGCAGCATTGAATGAGATAAGCATATTCAACTTAAGGGGCACACTAAATACTGTAATCTGGGAGCATAACTCAGATTTCTTTTCTTCTTTGCTCAGTATAAGTTGCATGATCATAGAAGATTTATGTAGAAGTCAGAAATCAAGGTCAAGAGGGTAGGCATATTTAGATTCTTACCCTATTCATAATTAACAATAAAATAAGATTTTGTGTCCTGATTCAGAGAATGGATGGCTCAGTCCTTATAACCTCTTAAATTAGTTTTATCTATAACTGGATTTCTGAATCTCTTTTGAAAATTACTACCATTGATGGTCACTGAGTGAAAAAAGCAGAAGGATAGACTGGTGTTAACTGTAATGAACATTTATCCAACATTACCCGTGGGCCTGCTATCCATTTTAAATTCTAAAAGCACTTTACAGCTTGCTAATACATAGCCTCATCTCCAACCTTGCATTCCTAAGTTCCACTCTGCATTCCACAAATGGGATTAATCACCTACTGAAAGCTCTATAATAATTCCTGTCACCTGGGGATAATGTTAAAACTTCTCAGTTTGTGAGAGAGGGCCTTCATTATCAGTGTCACATTTATTTTCCAGAAAGATTTCTAGCACCCCTCTACCTTACATCTTGCTTTTCAGCCAGGAAGAACAACTTTTACTTTCTGAAATGTACTAGATTCTCAATGTTGGGCCACATTGCTATTTTTTTTTTTTCTAAAAGACTCATCATCTTCCTTTCCTACCTAACTCAAACATATCCCTCTTAACTTAGACATTACTTATTTTGGGGGAGTCTTCCATGATTACCCTAAGAATAGGGTAAGCATTCTTCCTCCCTGCTTCCATAGAAAGTAGGAAACTATTGCACTTACACATTGTAATGTGGCTATAGTATGATCAAAATAATTAAATCTAAACAATACTGTGTGGATTCAAATTTTTCTCAGCTACTCACAAGCTGCTATCCATTTTACCAAGCCTCCTGCATGTATTACTATGTCTAATCCTCATATCAACTCATATATAAACTAGATTTTATGATTATGGCTCTAAAAACAAGGAGACTAAACCTCGGAAATATCATTTAACCTGTACAAGACCTTACTTGGCTGAGCTAGGATTCAAAACTAGGTCATTCCGAGGAGAATATAAAGTCCAGCTTTTTTTTTTCCACACAGGGATGTATATTTCCAGGTACAGTTTTACATTTTGTTCTTTATTGTATGAACATAAATATAGATACATATGAAAATTCGAAAGCACATGAAAGTGCCAAGAGGAAATGCAATACCATCTTATGAAATGAGAAATTACACATATCTTACAGTGAGTTTCAAAATTATATTGCTCAAAGTATTTTTACTGTGGAACCATAGGCACAAACTATAGCAAGAGTAAATCCAAAAATGTTTATTGTTCTTCTATAAACTAACTACTGTGTAGGATACAAGGGATGCTGATTTCACCAGTGCCTTTAAGAAGGACAAATCAAATTAAAAAGTCAAAATGACTGAAGGTGATAATCCAGATGGTGGTAACAATAATGACTACCATTTATAGAACTTTTTGATGTTGTTCACTCAACGTTTCTATTTTTATTCAATTATAAGCAAACAGCAGAATTAACCCAACATTCAGCAACTCCAGATCAGCTTTTCTTACCCCCATGAAGAGCTATCAATTTAACAACCACAGTTGTAAGGATTCTTAATAAGCTGTCAATGAGCACTGCTGCCGGTCTAGATGGCCATGCCCCAACAAAAGCAAAGCCACTCTCCCTAATGCTTTTTCCAGGATTGCTTTTTAAAGGCACCAGAGCGAGATACTGACGCCTATTAAGGCATCTGAGATGCACCGTGTTGGGGTTTAGCCTCCATGCCAGCCAGCCTCTGGTTGTCTAGGTGAGCGACAGCACCATAAAAACACGCTGCGTACAATTCTGGTATTAGGATCACAAAGGCAGAGAGGTGACAAATCCTTTTTCTTTTTCTTTTTTTTTTTGTAACCTCCCTTAAAGATTCTTTGATGCTTTGCTCTATTACTGTGGGCCTGGTCTTTTTTTCCCCCCCAGTTTTTTCTTCTTTAAACTCTGGATTGCTATTTTCATATTAATTTGATGACCCCATCACAGTACCAGAATATTCCTGAAAATAGAGTTCCAATTTGATCAAAACATAAACCAGAGTGAGTGAGTGAGTGACTAGAATTATAAAGGCCAGGCAGCAGGAAAAGTTACCCTAAACCATCTGACTGCTCAGGTCTTGCATGTGCAAAGGGGAGCCGGAAGAGGAGAAATCTATTATACATGCAACACTGAACTGGAGAACACGGCTTGGGGCCTCTGGGACAGTTCAGGTCCCTGAGCTGCCCCCTACTTCCCAGACAGCTGCTCCTGCAGTTTGGGCACATAGTCGTCCCACTCAGCCTGGTAACGCTTTCTGGCCACTGGGGCCACGAGCACGAGCTCGTACTTTTTTTTTTTTTTTTTTGAGACGGAGTCTCGCCTTGTCGCCAGGCTGGAGTGCAGTGGCCTGATCTCGCCTCACTGCAACCTCTGCCTCCCGGGTTCAAGCAATTCTCCTGCTTCAGCCTCCCGAGTAGCTGGGACTAAAGCCGTGCCACCACGCCCAGCTATTTTTTTTTTTTTTTTTTTTGTATTTTTGTATTTTTAGTAGAGACGGGGTTTTACCATGTTGGCCAGCATGGTCTTGATTTCCTGACCTCGTGATCCACCCGCCCCCGTGATCCACCCGCCCCAGCCTCCCAAAGTGCTGGGATTACAGGAGTGAGCCACCTTGCCCGGCCAAGCTCGAACTTTTGACAGAAGGATGCCATTTTGAATTTGCCACTGTGGCCTCCAGATCCATTGCTGAGGATGGGCTCGTCACACTTCAGCAGCCTGTCCTGTTTGTAAACCAGCCAGACATAGCGGTGGAGATCTGTGCCCTCCGGAGGCCCGAGCCCACGTAATGGAGATGACTGGGCCACTGCTAACGTCATTACCCTTCATGTTGACCACCAGGAAATGACGCCATTCAGTGTATTGGGGCTTCTTCCTGCCGGGAGCGTCCGGGTCTGTTAGGACCAAGGTGTAGAGTTTCCTTGACTCAAGATCATCCCATGAAATGCTGGTGGGTCTGTTAACCTAGGTGGGCGTCAGCACTTTGCCCAGCTCGTCCACCGTCGCCCTGGCGTAGGCGACATGCAGCGAGTGCTGCGGCTGCCCGTCCACTTCCTGCAGGCTCAAGGGCCTGGACCGCTTGCTGAGGTCCCTGGCATGGCTGTGCAAGAACGCAGCGCGCAGCTGGGAGTGCCACTAGGCAAGGCGCAGGCGCAGCGGCGACTCGGCAGCCTCTGAAAACTAGCCAGGGAAGCCGGGGCTCATTTATAGGATTTTAAAAATATTATTAAAGGCTTCACAAACTGTCTTGTTTAATAGCCACAACATTGGGAGGCCGAGGCAGGCGGATTACCTAAGGACGGAGTTCGAGACCAGCCTGGACAACATGGTGAAGCCCCGTCTCTACTGAAAATACAAATATTAGCCGGGTGTAGTGGCGCATGTTTGTAATCCCATATACTCAGGAGGCTGAGGCAGGAGAACCGCGTGAACCCGGCAGGCGGAGGTTGCAGTGAGCTGAGATAGTGCCACGGCACTCCAGCCTGGGCCACAGAGCAAAACTCTCTCAGAAAAAAAAAAAAAAATAGATACAACAATCTCCTTTTAACTGAAGAGGAATGATGTAAAGTTATATAAAGTTCAGAGGAATTGATGTAAAGTGAATCGTAAAGACTTTGGAATCTCCTACTAAAATATTTTAACAGGAAAGAGACACATCAGTGCATTTTACAAGCAGATCAATGTGGCGGTATCTAGCATGCATGGGGAAGGGATGGAGGAAGTTGTCAGTTTAGAAACTGAGTATAAACATTATTGAAATAGGACATGATAAGTACCTGGACCAGGGTAAAGGCAATGGAAAGGAAAAGGAAGCCACAGACCACAGATAGGAGGAATTCAAGGACTGTGTACCGAAATTCAGGAGAATGATGTGAAATAGATGCTCTGAATCCTCTATTCCCAGGAGGCAGCATTATGGAGTTAGGAGAAAATGCAGGAGCTTTGGATTCTAGTAGACCTGGGATTGAGTTTTTACACTGTTACTCTATATTCGAAGCAATATATTTAAACCAGCTGTGTCTTCCTTTTGTCCTTTATAAAACAAGAATAATAATGCTTATCACATAGAGATATTATGAGGATTGTATAAGACAATGTATCAAATAGTAGGTATTCGGTAAATGTTCCTTCTTTACTAAAGATAGAGAAACCATTTTCTGATGTACAAAGGGATGAAGAGCTGGCCCAATATGAATTTTCCCAAAGAAGTTAAATGAAAAGGATCTCATGATCCTTTTCAGGATTTATTATTTACGAATGTTAATATATTATTTTAATATTTTCTATCTTATGAAATAATTATTTGGTCAAAACATAAGACAATTGATAGGAATATACAGCATGGAAAATGGTTACCAACTAGAGCTGCAGGGTATCAGGGAATGTGACAAGGCAGCAAAATGTTTCTACACATGTCTGTTTTTTCAGGCATTATCTTTCTTGAGACTATCAAGTGTGTATTTAAGGAGCCATTCAACTTACTTCAGTGCATTTGCTTGCAAAGGGTGCAATGTGATGTTTCCTACTGGTAGGGTCGTATTTCATATGTGGTGATAGTGTTGCTGAACAAATAGGAAATATCCTTGCCTAGACTATATTTTATCATTTCATTATCTAGTGGTAAAGGAATGTGAGTTCTATTTACAAATAAACATTTTGTCTTACTTTTTTCTTTGTGATCTATTTTCTCCAAGTTGCATAATGTAATGAATTAATAAAGCTTAGTTGCTGGCCAAATCAATGGTGACTTTTTATGTTTTTAAATATAATATTAGGTTTAACTTATTTTTGTCATTAAAATATCATTTGTGAGTGCTTTTCAAAATGAAGTGCTTCTGAAATAAATCACATAATAAAACTAACCTTACTTTTGAAATACATTTTTATTGAAGCAAACACAAATCAATCTGAAATTCAGCATTTTGTAGCAGTTAAATGTATAGTCAGGCAGCTTCAACGTCAACTAGAGAAGTTGTGGTTTTAACCCCGAGATAGGGCTGATTATGCTGGTGCTATGGCAACCTATTGCACCATTTGGTAGCGCCTGTGTGCTTAACCGCATGAGCTGCGCCTCTTCCTTTCCTATAAAGACTCAGAATAAGAAAAACAGAAGTACACCGAAGAGAAGAAACCACAAGAGCAGTAAAGACACTGCTGTTAGCTTTTAGCTGTGCAAACAGCAGTCTTATGAGAACAACACATTGAAAACCTCTTCTATTTGAAAGTGTAGCTTTTCCCATTATGCCTGGGTTCCTTTAATGATTTTGAAAGTAAGCCAAGTGTTTCTGTTCAGAGTTTTCATTAAAGGGAAATAAGAAGAAATAAGCAGTGCATTTATCAGCCTTTGCTTTTATTGTCCTCAGCTTTAGGAGTGGGAGGCTTTTGTGCAGCCTCAGCAGACATTTTATTCTGTTTGTGAGATGGGAGATTAGTTTCTATTAGGTGGACTCCCTATAATCTAGCATTTATTTTCTGCTTTTTTTTATTATATTGTAGTTAGTTCACAAAAAAAAGTACAATTTTAATTCATCTCCTGGCTCATTTAGAAAGGGTTGTGGTTGGTGCTGTAAACACGTTTCTACATAACTAGATTAAATTCACAGACACTCACTGTCCTAGCACTGTTTATTTTCTATGGGGAGCTTCATTTACCTATTCTTTCCCTCACCCCACTTCTTTTACAAGGTATAGGTTGATCAGCAAAGGCTTTTGTATGTTTTCCTTTGTTTCAAAGTACAGACATAATATAATCATAACTTTTTTTTGCATGTTCTACTATTTTTCCTTCCTTAAAGATTTGGGTAAAAATACTGAAGGACAGACAAGTTCATGCTACCATTTTTGTTAGGCATAGGCCTGTTCACTTTTCTTCCCATTTTTCTGAAAAATAAGAATCTACCCCTTTTGTAGTCATTGTCCAGCAATTTACACTTTTTAACAATAAGTTTTAATGTGTGGTACTCTGAATCCCATTTTGATGGTTATACATAATATTTACTCATTTTTGAGTCCCTAATAGCTCTTTAGCACAAATACTGGATTTAGCATTAAATATTTTTTCCTTACAGTGCAATGCAGTTGAACAAGCATGGGGGTTTTTACAGTCAGACAGATCTGCATTTAAATCTAGACTCATTTTGCTACAAGTTCTTTATTTAGCCTTGCATACACGTTTTTATGATTTTGAGCTTTCATCTGTGAAAAGAAGAGAATACCATCTACTTTGTAGGATTTCTATAATGATTAGATAAAATAATATGTAACAGTATTTAGGACAGTGCCATTCACATAGTACCCGCTTATTAAATAGTAAACACTGTTGATAGCACCAAATACACTAATAAAAGATTTCACCACTTATGCAAACATCTTTTGATGATTCTTTGTTCTTTAATGATGATCGTAACCTATCCTAGAGGAAGCAAAGAGCTACAAAAACATACACTTACTAAGGGATTAATATAATTAAATGGTTTTTGCTATCTGAAGTATATTGCATAAATCAGGTATATATCCCTGGATTTAGGTAAATGAAAACAGACATTTTCATAAGAAGCAAAAAGATAATTAATATGGGAACAAACCTATTCTGGAAAATGTTTAAAAAGAGAATATGGGTAAGGAAGCATCTTTCTCAGTTGTTCTTAACCCTTGTTTCCATCATAATCACCATCAGAGCTTTAAGAAAATACCAGTGCACAGATCACGTTACCCCACAAACCTACTAAATCAGATTTTCCAGCGCTGGAGCCCAGAAATAGTCACCTTTAATCTAATTCCCAGTCAGGATTAATACAAATAAAGGATTGATATTTTTTCTTCCTCAGGATAATAATACTGGTTACACACACATAAATATACATAACTGATAACAAGCCAGAATTTTGTAAACTATGTTCTCAGAAACATTGCAGTTACATTGTACAAATGTCCTATAGTATGTCCATGGGAAAAAAATGGGTTTGTGGCAAATACTTTTAGGAGATCTTGAGCTAAACGAAGTGACATAAGTTTCTATGCTTTTAATATATTAACACACTTTATAAATATCTCAAAAGGGCATGTAGCATGAATTACTTCTGAAACAAATTTGACTATGGGACATTTAAAGGCACACAAATCTAAATCAAAGACTTCAATTTGACCATCATTGCACAGGAAGCGATAAAATTTTCCCCCTGACTTGTAGATAAATAGTTTAAGACAGAAAAAAAGCAGTGTAACTGATTGTTCTTAAATGGTTATCTAGTAGCCTTTATTAATTTTTTTGTCATTAATTGTTTCGTTAATCAACATGCCTGAAATATATAACATGATGTTTTAAACCAAATATAAAATACCTACAAATGCATTCCTAGTTTTGAGGTGTGTGTTTGCAAAGTCATATGTATTCACAAGCAAAAAACATTATTGTAAATATTGGACACCATAAGTCATTGGGAGACAGCTAGATATGGTTGCTATCTTTAAAATTTTTTAATTATTTGATTTTATTCCTCTCATGGCCACAAAAATTTGCCTTCTTTATCCTCAATACTGCTTTACATACTGATATTTTTCTTTATTATTTGCATTATTATTTAAAAGTGTGTATATAATTTGAAAGTTTAAATAGTACCATAAGGCCTAGAGTAAGTAAGAACAGTCTTTTGCTCCCACGACTCTCCCCTCCCTTGATATTTTGTGATTTTTAAATGTTATCTTTTATTGTAGTGCTGTTTCTTTAAAACAAAAAAAAAGATTTTTGCCAGTATCTATTGACTTCTTCTCTTGATCTTGAGATGTTGCTTTTTATAACCTCTTGCTCTTTGTTCATGGGTGCAATGTTTTCTCATTTCTGAAAATATGAATTGTAGTTGGTTATCCTCTCTTTTGCTCCTTGCATTGCCTCATTCTCCCAAGTGCCTCTTTTGTTTATTTGAGCTCTATCTTTCTTTCTTATTAGAGGCTTTGTTCTAGTGTTTCTTGGATGTCCATTTGTATTTAATAAAAGGCCTCAATAAAGGGATGTTGAAATTCTTTGGACATTGGTGGAGCTCATAAATTCATGTGCTTTAACTAGATTGAATGAAATCAGAAAGGCACTACACTCACTGAGTCTTAGTTTCCTTATATATCAAATGAACTGCATGTCAATAATCACTAAAATCCTTTGCTTCTGTCTGAGTAGAAATCTTTGGAATTATTTTCTGATGATAAGCAGAAAGTCCTTTACTCATGAGATTCCAAAAATAATATTAATATACCCAATATTTTAACATAACGTCTACATAAAGAATAAGAAAATTATTAAATAGACACTATTTCAAATCTAGCACTTTCCTCGTGTGTGCCTGTGAGCAATTTACTAAACTCTTTTAGGTCCCAGTTTCATTCCCTATAAAAAAGGATAAATAATGCTAACTCATTGGCTTACTGGGATGCTTAAAAGAAAAAAAATACATATATATTATATAAAGAGGTGTGCATAGTGTCTGCTACATAACATTTCAGTAAACTGTTGCCATCATTATTATATTTACTGATAAGCTAATGGAGGGTAGAAAAGACTGTTTCCTGTGGTTCTCTGAAATCATAATACCTGGCTTGTCGCTGCCCAGAGTGCTTACTCCATAAATACTTAATAATTTAATATGATTTGTTAGATTTATTGTCTGTGGACCATATAGCAGATTTCTAGCATAAAAAAAGTGCAATTCTCTTATTTTTATTGTGCACTTTATTATTATCATGCATTGCTAAGAAAGGAAAGCCATACATATCTGTTTTAGCTGACCCTTATTTTTTGTCTTGATTTGCTTTTTTCCACTTTTGTACAGGCTTTATGTTTATGGAGGTCAAGTATGCATTCTCAACCTTCAAAACATGCTATCATTCATTTTAGGGCAGATGCTGAGAATAAGTATTTATTTAATCTATTCTATTTTACCCTTCTGCCCTTGTACTTTTCCCAGATTTGCAGAACTAGACAGGTTTAAATTCCCTAGGAAATAGCATCCCATTTTTTTTTCTTTTTTTTTTAGCGGGGAGGGAGAACGGGTGATATTTAAAGCCCAAGTATGTCTTTTGAAATGCCGTTTTCACTCAAATTGATTCCTAGTTTTTGCTGAAATCTCTGATCAGGGACTTAGGGGTGTGACTTCAAGGTAACTTTGATTTGTGATCATTTAAACATTTTGAGTTGTAAAAGAAACATATTGGGAAAGGTAAATTCAGTAACAATACATGTGTTAGAATAACACAGCTTTGAAGATCAAGTGTTCTGTTATCTACATTTTCATCTGTTTAATGTATCTAGTCAATTCCATTGGTGATTCACAACAGGATTATAATGGGAAAAAGAGCTCTTAGATAATTTACAGTTTTTTAGTGCTATGGTGCCACCTACTGAAATATTACTAAATACTCCTTTGACTAAATAATGAAAACACAAGACATTTAAGTTTTAAAAAATGTAGAAAATTTCATCCCTAGAAGATAAAAGTCAAAGTGTAGAATGTAGTAACTGTAATATGTGGAACACTAGATATATTACTGTGTTTTATTTTATATTTATTTGATGTGTTTATAGAATTTGAGAGAAAGCTCAATGCAGTTCTTACTTTGAGAAATAGTGATGCCTTCTCTTTATTGTCACACACCTACACATGTGCCCTCTTAATTTCCATTGCTATGTCACATATTTTGCTTTACCTATTTTCCACACTTTCCCAGTATTGTTCATAAAGAATGTTTACATATATTGTAGTGTAATTTGTATTAAACAATCTCCAAATATTAAATATTTATTGTGCACTGGTTATAAAATACTTTATGCAAAAATTTTGTTTGCTTTTCCCAGATCTATTTGACTCCACTAAGAATATATTGTTGCTTTTAAGTAATACAGGAAATAGGGTAGAGTACAAGGCTGTCTACATACATAAAACAACTTAGGTAACTACATCAGTTCATTTGTTTTGCATTGGACAAGCACAGTAATATTTAACCATATACTCCAGTCTAAATGGATAGGTCATGAAGTAGTTAAATATGTTATACAACCAATCTTTTGTTGTTGTTGTTGTTGTTGTTGTTTTTGAGTCAGGGTCTCACCCTGTCACCCAGGCTGGAGTACAGTGGCACCATCACATCTCACTACAGCCTCAACACACACTCATGGGCGTAGCCTCCCAAGTAGCTGGGACTATAGGTGTGCACCACCCTACCCGGATAATTTTTGTATTTTAAGTAGAGACGAGGTTTTGCATGTTTCCCAGACTGGATTGCTTGGTTCAAGCGATCCAGCTGCCTCTCCCTCCCAAAGTTCTGGGATTACAGGTGTGAACCATTGCACCTGGCCACAACCAATCTCATCAGGTCTTTTTTTTCTATCAGTGAAGATTCAGCACAGTGGCTTCTATCTATGATTTTGGTAATGTTTAATAATGTTTGCACATATGAAGTGCAACAGACAATTGAAGTCATTGCTCATGTAATTTAGGAAGAATTAAAATATGATAGAGAATTAATAAATTATTGCAGATATTTGGTTTTATAGTTTTCTCTAAATAGTTAAGTACCTTCACCTACTCCCTACCTTGTTTCATATATAAAGGCATTCTCCACCAAAGTATTTGTTAGTGTTCTGCTAACGTTGATGTAAAAATCATTAGATGACTGGGGGGGCGGGGTGTGGGGAATGTCCTTTAGATGTTACGTAGGTGTTTTAACTAAGCTATTTTATATAGGTCACATTTAGCGTGTTCCTACTTTAAGACTGGTAAAATGTTTAACATTAAAAAGACTGAAAAATAGATTTATGTAATCTAGTGCACATGGCTTATTAAAATTGATATGTTGCTTTAAGTTGCATCACTCTAGTGCATACCTTATTTCCTTAGGGGCATTGGCTTAAATTTTAAAGTAGTTTTTAATTTAAAATTTTTATTTTAAATAGATTCTATGTGTTTTTTTCAGGCACGAAAACATTTTTATGTCATTTATCATGTTGACTAAAAGTGTTACCAAAACTAAAAATCTGTTTATAGGGATTTTATGACCATGAGAACAAGCAAGTTGAGTCTTACACTAAGTCTAAACAGTGATGCTGAAGTCTTGGAATTTTCTTTTAAAAAGATAAAATGGTGTGTGGGGTGTGTGTGTGTGTGTGTGTCTGTGTGTGTGTGCACGCACATATTTGAAATAGTATATAAAAATGAAATAAAACATAGATTACAATGTTTTAGTGTCACCTAAAAATCACTCAGTGGAGGAATTTAGAATCATATCCAGTGATAAATCAGTGTACAAGCAAACACATATTCAATTCAAGAGGCCTTTATGGGAAGTAAGCATGAACATAGAAGAAAGGAAAATGTTGGCTCTTTAGATATTATACTGTTTTCCAGGATATTAAATTTTGCTGCATTAAAGATGAAAAGATTCGAGGAAATTTTGAATATGGAGCGATGATGAGATCAGAAAAAAATGTATATGTATGCCCATTATTCTGTCCTCTAGCTCCAGAAACCTCTTAACATCTAAACAAAAGGTCTGTAAATTTTAATAATTGTGCTTGATATTAGTGTAGTTTGGTTGACTTTCCTGTCAAAATAGTATTCTGTAATAAATTAACTTGACACACCTCTAAATTTTCTCTAATATTTGTTTGTACCATTATAGAGCATTCACTCAGCACATTGTGATTTAATCTGCATATCTATTTTTAGGGTCAAGGTTATTTTAGCATTTGTAGCACTACTAGTAATTTACTTGCAGCCAAATTATGATTAAGATGCATTTTTACTTAGCTCATGAGTTTTTAATAAACACCTTCTGTAAAAGAATTCTCATGCTTAAAATTTCATATGAAGAGGAAAGGCTGTAAGGACAAGTTGATGGGAAAAGGGGACGCCTGATGAATGAGAGCATGGCCTGTAAAGTCAGACAGGCTCAGGTTCAAGTCTGGCTCACATATACTAGACTGGCCTTGTGAACTTGGCCAAGACACTTGACTTTTCTAAGCTTCTTAGGGTTTTTGTGGTGCTTAAGAAAGAAAACATAAGCAAAAGACTTAGTATAGTGCCTGGCACCCAGTAAACACTCAATAAATATTAACAATTAATAACAATAAAATATTATTTCTAAATTATTCTTTAAAAAAGTAAATCATTAGAAACAGTCTTCTCCGTTTTGGTAATTTACCTCTTGTCCTTCTTTTCAGAAGTTAGATTAAAATAATATACATCATGTATTTCTTTTAAAAAACGTATTGCCTTTGGACCACTTGGAAGTTTATTAATCTCTCTGAGACATGGAACATATACGTAGTCTGATGAATAGTGTACTGGTTGGAAACAGTTCTAGTATATTTACTCAGGCATTCACAGTTCTTTTGTTAAAAAACAAATAGCTTCACATAGTGTCCCAGCATTTTTCTTCTCATTTCTGTGGTAAACAGATGATGAATTATAATTTTCTTTTATGAAACTCTATCTATAGTTGGTGCTACACATTTTGGTGACAACAAAGTAGTAAATCAGAACAACAGAATATAGGGGTCTGTGGAATTAGTGGTGCAGGTAACATTAAGATTTCTCTTTTCTCTGTCATCAAATTTGCTTTCTGATTTCTCCTCTGTATTAACTGATCCAATGGCTTCCGTCATTCTGAGGAAAAAGTTCAAGCTCCTTTTCAAGGCCTACAGTGCTTGCTCCTTGGCTCTTCTCCTAAAGCTGTTATCATCAGATCTGTTTGATTTCTCCTTTGCACTTACTCATGCTTAAAAGAATCCAGCAATTACTTATCAATCACTTCTTATACACAAGACTCTTTGCTACAGCTATTTCTCTTTCTTCTCCTCCTCTTCCTCATCTTATTATGTGATTCATGCTGATGTTGATGCGAGAAATTTTGATTATTAGTCTTAATCAGGTGTATCCATGACTAAAATGTCATTGCAGATGACTAGATATATGTGTTTTATGGGTTATAAGCTTATCCAGGGCAAGGGTCATGCTTTTATCATGTTTGAACCTAGTCTCCAACAGCATACCAGCAAAACAATGTATGTTTCTTGAACCTAAGTGAACTAAATTAACTTGTTTCAAGTTCCAAGGAATGAGGTGCTTGCATGAGAAGGGGCATATCAACCTAATTTTAGATATGTAAGAGCTCATGTATTTCTCAGATAAAGAAGAGATATGTGTTGTATAAAGTATGTTCACACACTCAAAAACAATTTGAATATTTTAAATTTGGTGATATGTTTTGTTCTTCACAAACAATGAAGGACACTTTTCCTTTCACTTCAAACATGAGAGCTATTAGTTATTGCTATACTAATATTTTTTTCTTATTACCTCTTTTGCAAATCAACACAATTCTAAGACTGTAATTTACAAGGAAATAAGAACAAATAAGGAGAGCGGAATGCTGTTAATGGGAACATAAACATAACAATAGTTTACATGAAACAGAAAGATAAAAGCTAACTAGATAAGAAAAGGGACAAAAGTACAAACAATATCAATTAAAAACAATATTTAAGTATGAATTATTAAGAAAAAGAGAAATGTAATGAGAAAACAAGAAAGTCATTATGTTAATAATTATGTATCACCCATCAATGATATAAAAATATATATATCAAAAATGCATTTTACTTCAAGGAATAAGCCAGGGAATGTCATTGAAGAATACGGGGTGATGCTCCTTGGATGGCAACTCTGAAGGAAGAAAATGTTTTCACATCAGTTTGTTCTCAGAAGATAAAATATAAAGGCAGAAAGTCACCTTAAGTACCAGCTAATTCACTTTCCCATCTGATCTCTGATTCTCTTTAACAACCTGAGTTTACAGTCATTTGGAAAAGAACTTTACAATCTTTTAAATAGGCATTTACTAAGATGAGGGATGAAAACATTGCACTTCACTGTAGACTGAATCTAGTTCCCATCATGCCAAGAAAGCTGCTCTTTTCAACATTTCCACAAACCCAGATGATAAATCCAGTTGACCCATGTTAATGCACCATGTTTATCCTGCATGTGAATCCCCATATTATTTGACTTCAACCATTTCCTTCTCGAAACACCCTCTACTCTTTATTCTTGTTTGCTACAGTTTTCCTCTTACTTGGAAAATTTGATTACCTATGCTGGCTCTCTCCTTAATATTCACTGAACTTCAGGATTCTATCCTGGACACTTCTCTTTTATGTAGTTCGGTGATCTCCTTCACCTCTGTAGCTGCAAAATGTATCTATATGCTGATCTATAGCATCAGCCCAGATGTATGTCATGAGCTACAAACCTCTATATTCAAATGCTATTATACATTTTCACATGAAATCTCAAGCAAATTCTGATTCACCTCTCTACTCACTGTTTATTACTCTCAAGTTCAGTGAAACTATAACTCACTAGCATGTTAAACTATCAATCTAGATATTTTCCTTATTACTCTTTCTCCTTTATTCTCACTTGAAAGGATTTACAAAGTCTTGGTGATTCTTGAGTGTTTCATAGGTCCTTTTCCCCCAACCTTTCTTTTGGGGTATACTCTTCCTACGTAGGACATCATCTCTGTCTGTTTTGCTTTGGTTTTGGTCTCCTGATTTTCCTGCCCCCACCTTTGCTCTTTAATAATCCATTTTCCATTTCCTGAAAGGTTGATCTAAAATTCAAATGTTTCTCCTTTAGGCCTCCCTTTAAAGACATCCCTTTAATGGATATCTAAAGCCTGTAAGATAAATCCCAGCTTCTTATTCTTCTGGGACCAAGCTAGCTATATGCAATCCTTTAGGTTGTAGCTTAAATACATCCAAGAAACCCTCTGTATCAACTCCTTTACCAGCCAACCACCAACTCTGGAAATATAAATAAGATGATCCTGTTATGTTCTCCTTTAGCACATTCTGTATCACCTGTCATCACACTGTATTGATTGATTGTTTTTGTTTATATCTCACACTAAATTGAGCTCATTGAGGGCAGGGAATTTTTATATGTTGGTCATATTATATCCCTAGCATGTGGCATAATGTCTAGCACAAAATAGGTGCTCAATTAATCATCATTATCTAAATAAATAATGCATTTGGGAAAAAAAAGTTTCAAAAGTTTTTCAAAAGTCTTTTGCAGGCTTGAAATTAATCCCAATAGTGATCCTTTAGTCTGTTATGTTTCTGATTTAGCCTGGGGATTCAAAAAATAAATAACATAATTTTGATATATTTGGGCTTTGTAAACATGGTACTAAGAGAGGAAATATAGTTTCATTAGGGTAAAAGCTACTGAAAATTGCCACTTGGTGAATGTTCTATCATAGACTTGAGGTACATATAAAAATCTAATATATGTTTACATTAATATGAATGAAATTTGAAATTTTCTAAGAGATTTTTGTTTCTTCTTTGCAGGGCAAAGCCCAACACCTTCCCCCACTGGTAAGAATTAATATTTATATTTTTACTAATTTTATTTTCTTGTTGCAAAGTTTATATATTTAACTACAATTTTCTATTATTAACACTGAAATTATTTTTAAGGATAAATTTTATAATCATGAGTGATTCTTGACATTCACTTGTTCTTAAACTTTCTGCTTATACGTTATAGAGTTTAATAACTACCTAAACATGTTATTAAATTTGTATATATATTTTGTGTATAAATAGTAACTTTTCCCAAACTTGACAGTAAATCACACAACAGGTTTCTACTCTCTTTTAATATTTTAAGACTATAAAAAAATGCATTTAAATTAGATAACAAAATTTTATAGTCTGAAAGCAGGTTAACAGCTGTCTATGTATGTTATAGATATGTAGATAACAGATTTGCATATGTCTATATTTCTTTAAGAGTATGTTGCTTTTTTCAATGGTATGCAAAACCTTTGAGACTATTGAGATATTTTTAAATAATAATTTTCAAATTCTACTGAACACTTCAATAGTCCTTATAAATGTCTTAATCATGAGATAAATTTAAAACACAGAGATGCTGCAAATAAATTCATACATAGTACATACAAAATAAGAGAAAAAATTAAATTGCAGATGGTTAAATATCACATCACTTAACTGATGTTACTGAAAATGTATTTTCCTGCATAATCATATGGTTGACAGTATGCATTAAGAAGGTAAGTAAAACAATGAAGACAATTTTGATTTAATATGGTAATGCACAATTCCAACTAACGTACATTCAACAGATCATGAAATTGGGTTATTAAAATGAATATTTTTGTCATTAAATAAAAATTCCGTCCAAATGAAGAAAACAAATAACCATGAAAATAGTAACAAAAACACTTCTGAATCTGCATAAGAACTATATTTCCTTATTTTTAAAGAAGGTCTAACACAATTTTACAGCGTTTAGCATGGCAGTGATGTTTTATAAATAAATAAAAGTCATTCTTGCATAGTAGATTGTGATTGGTTTATGCCAGCTACTCAAATGCAACTTAGTATCTCCAACTTTTACAGAAGATAGATTCATCTCAACCATACCAGATGGTTATTTTTGCAGGAAAGGGATAGGTATAAGGTAGAATGGGGAGTGATTCTTTAAAATGACACATGACTCATCACCTTATTGAGGGAGTTTCTGTTATCTCTGAATTGACTCTATTATGACAAGCCTCCAAGTGATGAAACCAGGTAAGTTAAAACTGTTAACCAAAATGCAAAGGAAAATGGTCTCTCCCAAATATTGGCCACAACAATGTCATCAATGGAAACCAGGAGAATTTGCAAAGTGGAGGTTCAAGAACAATGTGGAATTGGCAATTGAGTCAGGTTTTCTAATTTTAAATTCTTATTTGTGAAAGGGAATGTGAACTGAACTTAAGATGTGTGCAAAGATATGAAGGAGAGTAGTTCTCTGAAAACCTTTCTCCCTACCCCTGGGACTGAATTTGCTTGGCTAGAAGTAATCTTTAGGAATGCTACTCATCAAAATAGCGTGGTACTATGTATTAGTCTGGGTTCTCTAGAGGGACAGAACTAATAGGTTAGATGTGTATATGAGGGGTAGTTTATGTGATTGACACACAATCACGAGGTGAATTCCCACAATAGGCCATCTGCAAGCTGAGGAGCAAGGAAGCCAATCCAAGTCACCAAACCTCAAAAGTAGGGAAGCTGACAGTTCAGCCTTCAGTTGGTGGCCAAAGGCCCGAGAGCCCCTCACAAACCACTGGAGTAAGTCCAAGAGTCCAAAAGCTGAGGAACTTGGAGTCTGATGTTCAAGAGCAGGAAGCAGCCAGCACGAGAGAAAGATGAAGACCAGAAGACTCAGCAAGCTCACTTCTCCTACCTTCTTGTGCCTGCTTTTTCTAGCCGTGCTGGCAGTTGCTTGGATGATGCCCACTCATATTGGGTGGGGGTGGGGGGGTTGGGGAGGGTCTGCCTCCCCCAGTCCACTGACTCAAATGTTAATCTCCCTTGGCAATACGCTCACAGGCACACCCAGGAACAATACTTTGCATCCTTCAATCCAATCAAGTTGACACTCAATATTAACCATCAAATACTATTATAAGGAGAATGTTGCATGATTTTCCTTCTAGTCTGTTTGTAATTCACATCTAATGAAAGAGTGAGAGTGGACGATAAAGGGAACTTGTTGAAACATTTCTCTCAAAGCAAAAGGGATCATTGGAAGCAGGCAGACACCAGAATTGGTTTAACCTAAAAATAACAAATTAATAATTATCAAGTCTATAATGATGACAGTGACTTAATGTGAATAGAAAGAATTCTAAACTCTCTCCTTCCTTCCTCCCTCCCTTCTTTCCTACTTTCTTTCCACTCCCTTTCTCCCACCCCCTTTTCTTTTCCTTTCTTTTCTCCCACCCTCTCTCCCTCCCTTTCTTTTATTCAATGCATAGTAGTTGAAAAAATCTAAAGTTAGACCTGATTTTACACTGAAGACTAGAGGTAGTTACTATCCTATTACTGTACTTAGTTGGCTATGCTGGCATGTCATTATGGGTAAAAGTTTGATGGATTTATTTGTGAGTTATTTGGTTATGAAAATCTAGAGATTGAAGTTTTTCATTAGAAAATAACACACATAACAAGTCTATGATCATTTTGCATTTCTGTAATCACAGAATAGTTCTGCAATATTTCATGTATATTGGAATTGAAGTTCAATTGAATTTTATCTGTATTTAGTAAAAATTAACTTTAGCTTTGATACTAATGAATAAAGCTGGGTTTTTTATTTATCATACTATTTCCATTTTCTTCTCTAGTAATATTGCAATTTTCATTCTTAACTCTTTCCTGTCCTATCATTTCTACTCCTTTTCTAGTTTCTCTCATTCTCTCCCTTTTTCCATATTTGTGCCATTGTCTTTTGCCCAATCTTGTTGAACTGATTTAATTATTTTTTGTTGTGTGATATAGTTCAGTTTTTACCTAATTAAATATTTAAATTTTTTTTTTTGCTTTTCAAAAAGTAAATATATGTTAAGCAAAAAAAAAAAAAAAAATTAAATACATCTTTATAATTCCAACCTCCAGAGATCACATGAGCTTTTTTTTTTTTAACACATTTGGTATATTTTTCTATTCTTTTATTAAGAAAATCACTTTTTTCAGTAAAAGAGCATTAAAAAAACTTTAAAGGACTTTAATCAACAGTGCTGATTTGCCCTGCAGAATTTTTTTTACCATTGTACACTCATGTCAACTGTGCATAAACTTATTTCACTACTACTTTGTCACATATTTTCCTCTTCTTAAAGTAAACTTGAGCTGTGGATATTATTTCAGTATTTTAAATTGTATCTCTTTGTTATCATGACGTCAAAGACATTTTTGTAGACTTTGGTTGTTTGTAAACCTAGTTGTGAGTTTTGTTTTTCAGTCCTTTACACACATTTTCATTGCTTTGTTTGCTTTTAATTTATTTTTTAAAAAATCCATGAATAGGCCAGGCGTGGTGGCTCACGCCTGTAATCCCAGCACTTTGGGAGGCCGAGGCGGGTGGATCACGAGGTCAGGAGATCGAGACCATCCTGGCCAACATGGTGAAACCCCATCTCTACTAAAAGTACAAAAATTAGCTGGATGTGGTGGTGTATGCCTGTAATCCCAGCTACTTGGGTGGCTGAGGCAAGAGAATCGCTTGAACCAGGGAGTCGGAGGTTGCAGTGAGCCAAGATCGTGCCACTGCACTCCAGCCTGGTGACAGAGTGAGACTCTGTCTCAAAAAGAAAATATATATATATATATATAGATAGATATTTTTTCATGGATATATATATATCCATGAGTAAATGGAAGTTTTGTCTTTTTTTTCCCCTGGAACCCTAGCCCTGCTAAAAACCTTCTAACTTTACCTTTCTCTATCCTTTTCTTTATCTACAACTTTTTAATTTTTTTAATCATCTTTACCATTATGCTTCATCCTTCTGAACTCAATTGCTTTGGATAGGCGAGAAGCTGCTTTCAATTTCATTTCCCCATTTTTATCTTTAGCTAATGTTCTGTAGCTTGTTTTAGATCTGTGTCTACATATTATATGTATCTCTGTATGCATCAATATTTGTATATATGCATGCATATATGTGTATGTATATTTATGAATACATATACACACCATATACATACACTTATGTATGGTGTGTGCATATGTATGTGTAGATATATGTACATACACACTATAGTGGACTGGGGAGTTAGTATACTGGGAGGAGCATACATTTAGGGTATGATTCACATATTTATTTTGTCCTTCTCCCATTTTCCATTAATTAACAGGATTGACTACAGCAAAGATGCCCAGTGTTCCACTTTCAAGTGACCCCTTACCTACTCACACCACTGCATTCTCACCCGCAAGCACCTTTGAAAGAGAAAATGACTTCTCAGAGACCACAACTTCTCTTAGTCCAGACAATACTTCCACCCAAGTATCCCCGGACTCTTTGGATAATGCTAGTGCTTTTAATACCACAGGTTGGCACACAAAAGTTGTTAACTTAAATATCAGGGAATGTCATTTAGAAAATTCTACAGTTATCAGTACAACTTGTCTTTAAATTATTTGCACAGTTTCTAAGTATGTGATTTTATTCAAGTGCAGAAATTGCAGGAAATTAGTATCTGTGAAATATAGATCGACTGAAGTAATTAATGCATGTTGTTAGGGAGTGGAGAGAGAAAAGAAGGGAAGCAAGATCTCCAAGGACAATCAGGAGGGGAAATTTGTTCTAGTATCCTCTGATCTATACACACTCGCCATGATTCTCCCGCTTGGCTTCCCGCCACCTGGACAGATGAGAATTTCCCTAGTTCAGAGATTATCAGTTCTACTCTCCTTGGAAGGTGTCTTAAATGGGAGTCTTCCCATTTCTTTGTTTCACTCTAGATTCTCTTTATCCAAAAATTGTTGAAGATAGAGAATGTATTATTTTTAAATCCACTCTGAGAATCGACAACCCAATTTTGTTATTTGAGTTTCTTTTAAGAGCATTTGCATCATTGAAAACATTTTTAATTAAGGTTGTGAGTTCTACTGGTAAATTAAAGGCAATGTAGCCATGTTCCCGGGAAAAATCAGATTGATGCAAGAGATATTTTTGCCAAGGAGGGGCACTATGCTCCTTAGAATACTGATATATGTATATGCTCATTTAATGTTTAGCAATAGGTCTGCCAGTGTATTCAGACTCAGATTTACCATCAGTAGAGTGTTCATGCTTTTCTGAAATAATGTGTTATGTTGACTTTTTTGTGGGCAAACAGGTTTATAGACATACTCTGATAAAAGATACTAAGCTATTTGAACTGTTTAACAATGCCATTTATCTTCGTTTGAAAAACAAGCATATATAATACCATCACAGAAATTTTGTTTAGGGTACATCAAAGTATTTTGAGTACCTTACTGATGAAGTTTATTGGATATAGTAAGCAGTTAAATAAATGGTCAGTGCCTTCCTACAGCAAGTACAAGACTGTGTATTTAATCTTCCATTTGTTTCCCTGTCACCATAGCAGAGTAGTAACTAGGACCTGTCTAAACACTGTAAAAATTTGAACACATTGCCCAAAATTTTTACAAAAGGAATGCAAGGATGAAGGTGCTGATGACTAGGTGGAACATCTCATGCTATTTTATTATTTTGTTTATTGCCTGAGTAGTGTCACATTGAGTTTTCCTTTTGAAGGTTCTGTATTTCACGTCACATGCACAAATAAAAACATGCAACATTCTTTTCATTCCCACATTTTTAAAACCTAAAACCACTTAAGCCATAAATTTACAGGTAGAGCAAAGTATGAGAAAGGTTTAAAGTTGAATAGATTGAAAATAAGGATGAATAATTTTAAAATACTGATTTGTTCTAGCAAAATAATACTGATGTTGAAATTACCTTGAAAAGTTCATGCTTTCAAATAAAAACACACTTTCTTTTCTAGAAAATAATCTTTTCATCAGGTGATACTTCAATTATCTATTGGAATAAAGTCTATATGAGTTATTTAATTTATGATTATGATTGATTTATACTGCTGAATGCAGTCAATTTTTTTCATTTACTGATATAATTGGGGGAAAATCCTTTAATCTGCATTTCTAAGAATATTATTACACACTATTCAAAATTGTTCATTTTTGAAAATGGCTACAATGACCATCCATGTGCATAACATTAAATTTAATTATGTAATTTTATTTTATAAAGATAGTTTATGACTATTTCAAAGCATTTTCAATATAGATGGGTATGTGTGTATATATATATTTGTATATACTGTTAAGTATATATAAAGTATATGTATGTGTTGTGTGTATATATTTTAATCCTATGTATACATACATATACATATATACATATAGGATTAAAGTATATAAAATGTATACTTTATATGTACTTAAAAGACACACAATGAAAATACCCTTTAAATTCTGTTCCTTAAAGATACCTTTTTAACCATTGTTGTATATCCTCCAGGCTCTCAACATATGATTTTGTGAGTATGCAAGAGACCGTGTATGTAAGCATGGACATGTGAGATTGTTTCCACATGTTTTCAAACACTAGATATTATCAACCTTTTAAAACTCTGCCAGTATGCTAGTTAGAAATATTTCATGTTGATTTACATTTAAAAAATTGTTCTTAACACTGAACACTTTTTCATATACCTTTTGGCCCTTCTGTATATTAGGTAGATGTCTGTCACATCTCTTGTCCATTTTTAAATTTCTTCTTTTCTTTGTAATTTGTAAGAGATACTAGTACATTGGAAGATTCCTTTCTTATTCTCCCTACAAAGAAATGTCCCATCTGTCAGTTTGTAGAGTTGATGGAGAATTCAGAAAGCTCATAGTGATGTGAAAGTCAATAAAGCCACCTGGAAACACGAATTCTCTATGGCTGCATCCAGCTCAGGAAACCTCCCAAGGCTATGTAAATAGAGGACTCAGGTGCCTGTCACTTTCCAGCCAAGCAAATTTAAATACTGACAGACACATTTTAACAGATTCAGTTACTTCACAGTTTGGTAAACTATAATCGCAATTTGCTCCTTATAACCTCTTAGTAAATTATTCATCTCCAGTGGGGGAAGACTGATGTAATGATCTCACTTTCCTACCTTAGGTGTTTCATCAGTACAGACGCCTCACCTTCCCACGCACGCAGACTCGCAGACGCCCTCTGCTGGAACTGACACGCAGACATTCAGCGGCTCCGCCGCCAATGCAAAACTCAACCCTACCCCAGGCAGCAATGCTATCTCAGGTTTGCGGGTCCTTTAGACTTGTGCAAATATGAAAAGTACATGACGACTACCTGTATTTAAGAATGGTGTGAGGAAATCTAACCACTTATTCAATGTGCAGCTATTGCTAGTTGATGAATTTGGAATTTCAGTCACTCTTAGGAATATGAAACCACAGAACAAATGTCCTTTTAACAGAGATGAAATAATAGTGAGAATTGTGAGACTACAGCAAAAATCTGCTCAGGAGGAAAGAGTTATTCAGAATAGTCTATTTTTTATATATTTCAGGCAATTACCATTCTACAGGGAAAACTTTTTGTTAGAAGTAAGAAATAATATGCATAAATCTTTACTTAAAGACTTTGTACCAACAAACAAAAGGGTGAAGAGTGATTCCTATTATCAGTGAAGGGCAGTGAGAAATTGTAACCACAATGAAACTGTTATTTAAAGAATGAGAAAAAAAGAAAGGAATGGGTTTATTTCCCATTCAAACATTAAGAATCTTTCAGGATGGCATCTCTGTGTTTATAACAACAATGCAGAATATTTCCTCCCTTTTCTTTTCAAAATTAGTGTCCAAATCACTTCTTGGTGTCCTTTTATATGCAAGAAAAACAAGTATGTCTTTTGTCAGATCACAAATCCACACAGTCTCGTATATAATTTCAGTGATCTGAGTGCTTGAAAGTTAAAGATATAAATGGTAGACCTATGTAGCTGGTAGGAACATGGTCTTGCTTTAGGTAGGAATCAAACACATCAAATAGAATAATTATTATTTTGCAGTATTAAAACTGTGCCCTTGGCATAAAAATCATTCCAGGCAATCCACACTCTTTAAACAAGTGGGAGAAGAGCCGCCCTCACCTTCCTCATTCCATCTAGTCCAGCTGCCATGGGAACCACAATAAAAATATTTGGAGCTTTTAGCAAACCCACAGATCCAGAAATAGTGGAGGGGCAGAAACTGTAAAACAACAAAAGGGGACTGACCCCTGGGGCTGGTTGTCACACAGACTAGTCTGCTCTGTCCTGATCAAGGAATTCTTCTTCTCAAAGAAGTGGCTAATTCCACTGATGAAAAATCTATTAGGATTAATCAACCTAATTAAAATTGTAAATGCCGTCCATAACCACCACTGAGAGTACCTACATAACAAGGGAAACGAAGTTTTCAAGTGAGGAGGAGGGAAGGTAGGAAGTTTCGGGAGGTTGAGAGTGGAAGCCTCAAAACAGCTTGGGAGCAGGGTCTGCTAGAGAGGGGAGAACAGATCAAGTGAGTGAGAGGAGTGTGGAAAAGAAGGTGGAAAAAAGCTGATTTCAAAACTCTGCAGAGGGCCAGTTCTATGTCTGAATGAGTTTTTTAAAGGATGAATAAATGAGCTTTCCTCACTCTTCTACATATTCTGCTGGAGCCCTCCTCTGGGGATCCAGAGTGGAAAACCTCATGTTTATGTTGTTTATTCTATTCTATGGTTTAGTTAAATTTCGTGGTTTAGTGGCTTTTGAAGACTGAGCTGAGAACCCATGCTCAATTATTTGGAAGATGCATTTTCAATTCTAATGGAATGTATGTGTGAAATTATAGACTGTACTGCATTTGTAATTGGTAGACACCTGCAAGCTCAAATCAAAGCCATGTTCAGAACGTGCATGCATGTATCACTGCAGAAATACAGACTCTGCCTGCAAATGTGAGACTAATCTCACATCATTGAACTGATGACCCCAGGGATCTTGACAGAAAATAACCCAACAAGCTCTTGAATAGAGGGCAGCTCATATTTCTTTTGCTTTTTCCATGGCAACTAGCATAGTGCTAGTCATCTAGTAGGAACCAAATGAATATACATTGATTGCCTGTGCTGTAATTCTGGATGTGATGTTGGGCAAAGGTGTAAAATACATTAGGTAATTTGAAGCCTGAAAATGGAAAGTTCTAACCTAGTACAATGTGCAGTTTCTTTGGCTACAACACTAGATTCTATACCAATTAGCAACTATGTGATTGAAAAATAAGAGAATGATGCCACTGTAATGTGGAGTTTGTTGGATTTCAAGCCAATTTGATTTTTCCTGGCCAGGGAAGCCTGAATTGTGAAAGTAGAATTGTAACCTTCAGCTGGAAAGGAAGAAAAAGAAAACCTTTGAGCTCATGCTGTGGCCCAGGCAGGATCCCATTCAGCTCTATTTTAAGAAAATTAAAACTGAGCACCTGCACCCAGGGATCCCTCCCCAGAGAGGTGTGTGCCTGCAAGGCTCTCAGCATGTATCAAGTTGCACTTCCTCCTGTGCCAACCTTTTACACTCAGAGCTCTACCTCCATCTACATGGTCTCAGCACCACTAAGACAGCACCAGTCTCTACTGCTTTGATGCATTTTTTATATTGCCTAAGGCAGCCTGCAGCCCAGAGTCTTAGGCTTCTTGGGCTGTCCAAACTATATATTTTTTTAAGTTGTGCTCTGATTATGAAGCTGCATAGGTTTCCAGTTGTCTGCCCCTAAATGCATCTTTCCCATAAGCCCTGGTATTTTTGGTACAGTTCTGTAGAATGCATGTGTCGTGGTATAGCAGAAGTGCTTGAAGATTTGTTTCTCTGCCTTATCTTTAGTAATTGTGTTTATGTTGGCTATCTGGCTATTGCCCTTGCGTGACAGACACAAGTGACAGTGCTGATGGCCCTTCTGATTGCAGATGTCCCAGGAGAGAGGAGTACAGCCAGCACCTTTCCTACAGACCCAGTTTCCCCATTGACAACCACCCTCAGCCTTGCACACCACAGCTCTGCTGCCTTACCTGCACGCACCTCCAACACCACCATCACAGCGAACACCTCAGGTCTGACTATGCTGCTCTAGTAGTGTCTTCAGTTATAGATAATGAAATGGAAACTCAAAACTTTAATGTAGCTCTTTTATTTTGTGCCAGATATTATTTGTAGGTTTCCCATTTTACAAATGTTCACGTATCAACACCAAATTATGCAAAAGAAACTTGCCAGTAAGCTTTTTCTGGGCATATTTTATTTTACTATTAATATTATAAAAGTCCATGGCAAAGAAGAATCAATAATAGGCCTTAATGTCATATAGCTCTGGGATCAAATCCAATTTCTTCAACTTCGTAGCTGATTACAGGGCAAATTACTAATACTTTCTGCATATCAGATTTGCTTTCTGTAAAAATGGACATAATAACACTCCTTTTTTAATTATGTCAAAATAATTAACGTGATGTCTGAATATGTAAAAATCTGGTATGTAATAAATATTTTAAAAGAGTAATTGTGACGCTTATTAGAATCCAAGTATGGAAAGCCGTGAATGAAAGGGAAATGAATAGTCTGAGGAAGATTGCATATCATCAACTAAGAATTATATCAAGGAATGAATAGTTTTCCCTCAATTTATACAATGTTTAGTTTAAATAACTTGAAATAAATCTTTGATTCACTTTATTATTTTAAAAACAAGCGAATGTCAAATCAAACGAGGACTCCTAGAGCAAAGATGCCAATAGGAAATTATCTTTGCTAAAGAGTTTTTCTTTCACCTTTTAATATAACGAATTAATTAGCTTTTATTCTTCTATTCATTTTCTTGCAGATGCCTACCTTAATGCCTCTGAAACAACCACTCTGAGCCCTTCTGGAAGCGCTGTCATTTCAACCACAACAATAGGTGATATTACCCTCAGTCAGGCAGCCACACCATCCCCATGTGCCTGGTGATGTGCTCTCACAAGGGCCTTCCACCCACTCTACCTCGGGCTCCTTTCTTTAAGTTGCATTAAGTGTTTGAATCCTGAGGGTGATGGAACAGCAGGAAGATATTTCTCTGCTTAGCAGTGCAACAGCTGATGAGATCAGGATGTAATTGTTACTGTCATAATTCATCAGAAAGCATGTGTGAGAAACAACCACATCTACTAGAACTTTTTCTCACAGGGGTTTAGGTCTTAGTAAGGAAAAGAACAAGCCCATCAAAGGGGCTGTCCATTGCAAGTGGTGAGCATCAGACGGCTGATGGCAGAGTTCCCGTTAAGCAGTGAGAGGGCGTGGAGATAAAGGAAAGAGAAACTGAGGAATGGCTGCAGCAATGGTGGTATCTGTGAATCAGCAAGTAAGCTGATCAGAGCTTGCAAGCCCACAATTCTCCTCAAATTCTTCCAACCCAAAATCAAGATGAGCAGAGATCTCTTAGCTTACACAAAGCACATGTTCTCCCAATTATTCAACTTAAATGCCTACACTCACACAAGATACTGCTAAATTTGTTGACAGAGCAATTTGTTACCCTGGATCTAGTAGATGTGCAAAGAGCTTACAAAAGTTAATCTAGAGAATGAAGCAGTCTTTGCATTTTCTCTGACTTTTTTTTATGTAAATGAAAAGTATAAACTTCGTACTATGGGGGTTATAATTATATAAATTAACATTGAGATTAATCAAAATATGAAGACCTTTAAAATATTTTTGGCTGTGTGAATCTTCAGCCATGTTGCCATACCGCCAATTAGATGCGTACCTAAAAGTCTTAATATTGTTAATTGTATTTATTGGGTATATTTATGAAAAATTTTATAGAATTAGCTCATTCCTTTATAATGCTTTAAGTTTTGAAATGAAAACCTGTACTAGGCAAATCCTTCATATTCTGTTAAATCTAACTAGATAGACTTTATGAAGTAGAAGTATTGTAAATCAGCTTTCCCAAAAATGACATGGCAGATATTCTAAAGCAAAATTTTAATAATTTACATTTTTTTTCTCCATTACAGCTACTACTCCATCTAAGCCAACATGTGGTAAGTTTATTTACTTAGAATCAGCATACCTCACTTTGGAATAGCACTTTAATTACATCTTTCTTTATTCCAAGCTTTCAGGACCCACTAGTAAGCTAAACTCACTGGCTCTAATTTCTCACCGATGACTAGTCTCAAATTAGTAAAAAATTACTAGCTACACATGGACATAGAGTTGGGAATGATAGACACTGGGAAATACAAGAGCGATGATGGAGGGAGGAAGACAAGGGTTGGGAAACTACCTATATTGGGAACTGTGCCTACTTGCTGGGCGTCGAATTCAATTTTACTGCAAACCTCAGCATCCTGCAATATACCTTTGTAACAAACTTGCACATATAACCCTGGAATCCAAAATAAAAGTTGAAAACTAAGTTTTCCAGTTAGACAACTTTGGTAAAGCCACTTAATTTAATTTAGGTATTTGAAAAAAAAATGGAATAACAGCAAGTTTGTTGGTGAGGGGGAGGGGGACAAGGATTCAGTGTGATGATAAATATAAAATGTGGATAATACCTTCAAAGCTTATCAAGAAGAAAAATCTCTCTTTTTCTCTCTCTTTCTGTCTTGCTTGTTAGGGGCTGGCTCAAAGCAGATACTTGAAAACAGTTTGTCTCTCTTTTTTTTTTTCTCATTTTCTTCCTTGATTCTCAGTTGAAGCAAAGCGGTTCTTCATGGTCAGGGCTTATTCCTCCATTCATTTCTAAGTCTAACCACTGGAGTCACTGCCTTCAGTAGCTTTCCATACATTTAGTGTAAAGAGTGGCCTTCATATGTCTGTTTAATTAATATGATCTTTTGTAATCCGGTTGTCATTCATCTCTCCTCCCGCCTCTTGAATCATTGCCTCCTTATGTTCTTCACTTAAGTAATATGGAACCACTTTCAGTTTTCTTTTCTTTCTTTCTTTCATTCGTTAGTTCTTTCTTTCTTTTTTTTTTTTTTTTCTCACTCTGTTGCCCGGGCTGGAGTGCAGTGGTACAATCTCAGCTTACTGCAACCTCTGCCTCCTGGGTTCAAGTGATTCTCCTGCCTCAGCCTCCCAAGTAGCTGGGACTATAGGCACATGCCACCGAGCCCAGCTGATTTTTGTATTTTTAGTAGAGATTGGGATTCACCATGTTGCCCACGCTGGTCTTGAACTCCTGACCTCAGGTGATCAACCTGACTCGGCCTTCCAAAATGCTAGGATTACAGGCATGATCCACCACGCCTGGCCCACTTACAGATTTGTAAACACATACTGTTCCTTCCTGCCTCTGTGGCCACTCCTGCTCTTCCTCTACAATTGGAATTCTGCTCCAACCTCATCCCCCAAACCCCATGTCTATTTTTCTATTTCCTGCTCATATTTTAAAACACAAACTAAGTCACTTTCTCTGGAAATCCTGTCCTATACCTCCAAATGGAACAGATCTCTCTCTTTCTAGTGCCACATTATTTCCTGCATAATCTTATTTTAGAGGTTTGTATGTCTCCTGCAATTCATGCTTGTGTCTGCCTCCACACTGGATTATACATTTCTAAAAGCTGATTATATCTAACTTGCCTTTGAATTCCTAGTATTGGTGACCATGTCTTACATATGACAAGGGCTTAATAATTTTTGTTGAATAAAAACAAATGAATAAATTTATATTTGTTGTAAAGATATTTTTATCAGTCAGCAGAAATTGTTGACACTAAACAAAGGTGCTTTGGAGGTATATTATCAATCATAATTTTACCCAAGTTAAGGAAAGAATGAGGGCTTCTGATCCCTGAGTAATTAATGCCCCACATATATCAAGAAACAGGTGGTTAATAACTACGTTTTAGAAAACAAGAAAATTATAAAGCAAGAATAAATTTCTCAAATGCATCATTTATTTGTGCATCAAGTCAACAAGTAACTAGTGAGTTCCCATTAATGATACATATTATGCATACTCCTGAATTTACAGTGATAATAAAAATAGCCTAGACTTTGCTCTCATGGAAGTTCCAAGTCCAGCTAGGAAGACAGACACTTATCTGGTAATCATCCAAATATAAATTTACAAGCTGAGGTCCTTGTTAGGGCAGTAAAGCACAGATAATTACGAAAAAAATGATATGGAGGCACCTAATGTGTTTTTTCTTTTTCATGTTTTTTGGGGATATTTGGTTAGTTGATTTGATATTTTGGCATTTGCATTAATGTAGTTTTATTTATTCTGGAAAAATAACACTCAATGTTCTATTTTCTTTTAGATGAAAAATATGCAAACATCACTGTGGATTACTTATATAACAAGGAAACTAAATTATTTACAGCAAAGCTAAATGTTAATGAGAATGTGGAATGTGGAAACAATACTTGCACAAACAATGAGGTGCATAACCTTACAGAATGTAAAAATGCGTCTGTTTCCATATCTCATAATTCATGTACTGCTCCTGATAAGACATTAATATTAGATGTGCCACCAGGTAAATATCAATTTATTTCTTTTAATAAATTTATAAAAACAGTACACTTTTGTGTGTGGTGTTCTCCAGTGGTCACAGGAGCTAGTCTGGTGAGAGAACAGGGCTGAGGGAAAGGAAATTCCTTGGAAACAAGTGGGTGAACTTTCTGCTGTCTTAACCAAGTAAAAATGATAGAGTCAAATAAGCCTTCTGTTTACATCCATTAATCACCACTTCTACTTATTTAACAGGGAGATGTTTATGTGCACTAAATATAGTTTATCCTGCTAAGTGATTGTCTGCAAGCTTTCTTTATTCTCCTCTACTTAAATGAAGTATTAATTATATATGTACATATATTTATTCTTTTAAGTACAAATTTATCTGAAATATATTAGGGAGAAACATAAAGGATTTGATGTGTATGGGAAGAACCAAAATACATTCATAAAAAGGAAGGTTATGGTCATGTTAGTGAGATCAAGTTGGTTTTGTCAGCTAAGCTACTGCTTGGAAAGAGGAGGGGGTGACAGGCGTCGGGCAGACTCTGGGGAAGCATCTCTTAGCCAAATGCATTCTGGAAAAGGGATTCCAGAGCCGTGTAATTTTTTTAAAAAGTCATATCATTTAATAATTCAAGACTATTAATAAATTTGTTAACATTTAAATATGTTAACATCAAATGTATTTTGAAAATAAAATCCATTTAATTTATTCATTTTCCCTAAATATTACTGAGATAAATTACCAATTAAACACAGAAGATGACAATACTTAAAAATGCATTTCCCAATAGGGAAACTCCCAATACACTTTATAATAATCATTCAATTAAAAGTAAGTAAAGAGTAAACAAAAAATTTAAGATAAAAACAAAAATACAAAATGGAATGAGTGTTTTTTAAAATGTGCGAAAGCTACAATTTTATCAATATGTTTGCTTGCATTTCATTTTTTAACGTGGTATAACTTATAAATGAAACACTACCAAAATATATGGTGCTAAAAATAATAAAGTAAATAATAAAAGAAACAAATCCCTAGAGTTATTAGACTTTTCCCATAGCAATCTCAATCCTTGCCAAATTCTATGTCATTAGCATAATTTCAGTGGCTTTAACTGACATGTTAGGAATGAATGAGGGCTTAGGATACACATTATGAAATACTAATCAAGTTTATTTCTGTATCTTCTTGTCAGGGGTTGAAAAGTTTCAGTTACATGATTGTACACAAGTTGAAAAAGCAGATACTACTATTTGTTTAAAATGGAAAAATATTGAAACCTTTACTTGTGATACACAGAATATTACCTACAGATTTCAGTGTGGTAAGAATATAACATTGACCAGAGAATTTTTTTTTGTGGCACAATGTTGTTCTAGATATTATTTAATCTTACTCTCTGCCCTTTCTCTCTTCCTCCCTGCCTCTCTTGTTCTCCCTCTGTTTGTCTTTTTTCTTTCTTGTCTTTTTCTTGGTCTGTGGTATATTTAGAGTCAAATAATTAAATTACCTATACAATTCAAACAAATTCACAAAATAAATGAATACTTTTCATGAAAAATAAATATCTAAAAATTGAAAGTCAATTAATTTACAATAATTTTCTTGGCAATTGTTATACACAGGCATTGTTGAAGAGATCATGAAAGAAGGGTGTTATAAGGAAATGATAATACACAAACTCTGTTATGAAGTAAGGAAAAAAAATACAGGATTGTATGGTTCAAGAGTTTACTTTTTCCATCCTGCATCAACAAAATTCATACACAAGTTCAAGAACACTTAAATAAGAAGAAAGCAGAAAAAGAACAGCAAGTGCATCTAGGGATATGTTTGGATTTGAATTGAGGCAACTAATAATTGAGATAGTATTTTTAAAGTGTATTTGAATTTAATGAGGTGAACTCTCCCACCCTTTGACTTAAAGCCATCTGCCAGGCCATAGCTGGCATGACAGACAGATGTGCTCAGGTGTGCATGCGCATGCACGCATATCCACAGCTACACACATAGAGGATGGAGCATTGCGCTGGGTGTAATCATCACCTAATCACCATAGTATAGATTCATGGCCATCAGGCAAGCAGACAAGGAAAGGAAGAGCAATCATGACAGACCAATGATAAAATGTTCTCTCTAGACAATCTATTAGATGAAGACTAGGTGAGGTGCAATTTCAACTTTAAGTTGTATTTGCTATATACAGATTGGGCATCCCTAATCTGAAAATCCAGAATCCAAAATGTTCTCAGAATCCAGTACTTTTTGAGTGCCAACATGATGCGGCTCAAACAAGTGAAAAATTTTACACGTGACCTAAAGTGACTGGTCATAGTCAAAATGCAGAAACATAACACAGAATTTAGTCAGCATCCCCAGAGAAAAATAAATGACCTCAAGCTATGTATATGAGGTATATATGAAACATAAATGAATTTTGCATTTGAACTTGTGTCCTCTTCCCAATATATTGTATCATCTAAATGCAAATATTCCAAAATCTGAAAAAAAAAACTAAATCCAAAACACTTCTGGTGCCAGGAATTTTGAATAAGGGAAACTCAGCCTGTATTTTCATAAAAGTTGAATGTAAAAATTATTTTTAGGGTTTTTTATTATTTTGGTAATTTCCACAGATGTTTCAATCTGATAAATATTAAATAGAGAATTATAAATGTGAAATTAGAAAATAAATGTGTGCGTGAAATATTGCATCGATATATTCATTCGAAATATTTCTTTATTTCAGGTAATATGATATTTGATAATAAAGAAATTAAATTAGAAAACCTTGAACCCGAACATGAGTATAAGTGTGACTCAGAAATACTCTATAATAACCACAAGTTTACTAACGCAAGTAAAATTATTAAAACAGATTTTGGGAGTGAGTATGTTACTTGCATTTATATGTAAAATTGCTTCTCTCTTCATGTTCTTATAATTATTTGAGAATCATAGGAAATGAATTGTCTTTTTGCTGTTTTTGATACTTTTTAAGCATATGCTTTTTATTTCAATGAAGCGCAATTTATCTATTTTTACTTCTTTTGCTTATGTTTTTGGTGTCGTATATGAAAGTCCATTGCCAAGTCATGCAGATTTATCCATATGTTTTGTTCTAAAAATTTTATAGCATTGGCTCTTAAATTTAGCTCTGTTACCCACTTTGAGTTAATATTTGTATATGGTGTGAGGTAACAGTCTAATTTCATTTTGTTGCATATGGCCATCTAATTTTTCCAGCGCCATTTGCTGAAAATACTATTTATTCCCCCACTGAATAGTCTTGCCATTCTTATCAAAAATTAGTTGACCATAATGATGGGTTTATTTCTGAACTTTCAGTTTTATTTTATTGATTTATATGTCATACTTACACTGTCGATTACTGCTGCTTTGTAGTAAATTTTGAAACTGGAAACTGTAAGTTCCCCCAAATTGTTACTTTTCCTCAAGATTGTTTAGAATATCTAAGGGAACTTGGAATTCTGTATGAATTTTAGGATCAACTTTTCAATTTTTATAAAGAAGCCATCTGGGATTCTTTCAGGGATTGCATTGAATCTGTGGATAAATTTGGGAAATATTGCCATCTTAACCATGTTAGTCTTCCAGTTCATGAACACAAGATATCTTTCCATTAATTTATGTCTTCTTTAATTTATTTTCAAAATGTTTTGTAGTTTTCAGTGCATTAGTGTTATAATTCTTCTGTTAAATTTATTTCTAGTTTAAGTTTATTCCTGGTTATAATGCTGTTGTTTTCTTAATCACATTTTCAGGTTTGTTACTAATGTACAAAAGTACAATTGATTTTTCTGTATTGATCTTGCAGTCTGTCACATTACTGAATTTGTTTATTAATGATAATATTGAGAAATTTTTGACAAAACTTATAAATGTAATTCTAAATTTTGTTTTGTTTTGATTTTGAGACGGAGTCTCGCTCTGTTGCCCAGGCTGGAGTGCAGTGGCGTGATCTCGGCTCACTGCAACCTCTGACTCCTGGGTTCAAGCAATTCTCCTGCCTCGGCCTCCCAAGTAGCTGGGACTACAGGTGCGTGCCACCACGCCCTGCTAATTTTCTGTATTTTTAGTAGAGATCAATCTCCTGACCTCATGATCCGCCCACCTTGGCCTCCCAAAGTGCTGGAATTACAGGCATGAGCCACCATGCCCGGCCCGTGATTCTAAGTTTTATGTAAAAAGGATAGTTGAAGGCTAAAGAGGCTGCCTAAATCCTTGTCTCCTCATACTTCTCCAAAATAATATATAGCTACAAGAACAGCAAATAAAACTATGTAAAAACTATATCCTCAGCATAACTAGAAAATTTTAATGTATTTTTATTAGTACCACAATTATTACATTCTTTATAATCAATGCAACAAAATAGAAATCCCAGAAAACTATGTTTTATATTTGAAAACAGCACAAAATGTTTTCAGTGGGGGAAAAATAGTCTTTTCAACTAATGATCCTGGTATCTCTGTAGAAAAAAAATGAACATCAGCTCTCACCTCTCAACAAACACAAAAATTAATTCAAAATGGATTCCAGACCTAAATACTAAAGCTATAATTTAAAAAATTCTAATCAAAGACATAGGAGAAAATGTGTAGCTTTAGCAAAGATTTCCTAGGGCACAAAAGCAAGAAACATAAAACTTTTTTGATGAATTGGAGTGCATAAAAATTGAATATTCCTGCTCTTTGGATGAGGCCACTAAGGAAATAAAAAAGCAATAAATAGTTTGTAAAAAATCAAAATTAATTTTTTCAACAACAGAAGTTTTTCCAGAATATACAGAGAGCTCTTTCAGCTGCAAAATAAGGACTAAAACAGCTCAATTGAAAATGGACAAACATTTTTAATATATACTTCACAAAAGAGGATACACAGGTGGTTAATAAGCACATTAAATGATGCTCAGCATCATTAGTTAACTGAGAAATACAAATTAAAACAACACTGAGATGATAATACTATACATCCATTAAAATGGCTAAACTTAAGAATACGGATACTACTAACTATTGGTCAGGATGTGCAGCCATGACCCAGGAATTTCACTCCAGGTATTTACCAAAGAGGAAACATGACAAAGCAGATGCATTCATAGTAGCCAAAACCTGGAAACAGCCCAAATGTGTATTCACTGTTGAATCCTAGGTAAAATGTGGTGTATCTTTACAATAACTACTGATAATTTTTTAAAATTCTAACTATGACACATGCAACTAAGTGAATGAATCTTCAGAACATTACATTGAGTGCAATATGTTAGGAGTGAAAAAGTACTTACTGTTTGTTTCATTTTATTTACATGCAATGGGTAAAAAGACAAACTTAATCTGTAGTTAACAGAAAGTTGATCAGAAGGTACGTGAGTCTGGTCAAAGGAGCTGAGTTGACTGGGAAGTACCACAGAAGGACATTTTGGGATCACAGAAATTTTCTTTATCTTGATTGTGGTGTTGGTTATGTGGATGTATACATTTGTTAAAAATGCATTAAACTGTATCTCAAATGGGTACATTTTAATGTAAATTTTACTTCAGACATTTTATTTAAACATTTATCAGTTTTTCTCAGTTTCAAATGACTAGTTACTGGAAGCAATGACAAGTGCTACTCAATGACTGCTAAATTTATTGGTGCTATGAATGCCAGATTTTTAGCACAGCAAAATCTACAAATTCCAGGATTTTTAGGTAGTATCTGGGCAAGAATATATATGAATAATGTATATGAAAGGAAGAGGGGGTTCTTAGATATCTTCAAGTCAGTGGAATGCTTAGGTTTCACAGTGCCAATCTGGTGTGACATTTACTTTGTTAAAGGAATTTACTCTAAAACAAATTAAATGAGCCCAGATGCATTTCTTTAAATTTTATTTTGAATTCATCATTTGTCAAAATATGGTTATCAATAATGCATGCTTATAATATGAAGAATGCTTTATCCATGTCTTATTTTTCATATTACATAACATTCTTATTCTTTTAACAGGTCCAGGAGAGCCTCAGATTATTTTTTGTAGAAGTGAAGCTGCACATCAAGGAGTAATTACCTGGAATCCCCCTCAAAGATCATTTCATAATTTTACCCTCTGTTATATAAAAGAGACAGGTAATTTGTGTAGAATTTAATTTCATCAGAAAAGAGAAATCAAGAATTTGAAAGTACTAGAAATTTTTATTGAGCCAGTGAGTCACAAAGCTCTCTGCTTAGAGACTGCATAGGCATAGTATACTCCCTGATCTTAGAATTGCTTCCACTCATTCAAAGCTTTCCAGCCCCAGAAATGACTAAAATCCAGAACATTCTAAATATTTGCTTGTCCTTCTTGGTCTTAGTTTAAATCTTTGTGCTCCAAAGCCTAGAGACAGAAAACCTCTGGATGACAACACTCATTTCTGTCTTGCAAGTATTATGTAAGTGATTTGACTCACTTTGAACTCATCATTCAGCCTCCTAAACAAACCAACAAACAAGCAAACCCCTTGTAAAACTTGTTTCAGCTAATAATACAGACAAAATGTTGGGTGAATAAAAATGAACATGGGCCCATGTAGCCGCTGGGGCCAGTTTGGTGTAATCTTGGGAGCATAGTTCTAAGTTTAGAATTAGACTTCTGCAGAAGTAATGCAATTAAAAAAAAAAAGAAGAAGAAAGAAATGTGCTATGACTAGTTCACTCATGAAATGTTCAAATGAGATGCTATTTAAGAGAACAAATATCTTCTGGACAATTTAAAGTATCTAAATTGTTTGTAGAAAGTAACATCAGTGGAGTATCTCAGAGCAGCCTCAATGCCTGGGATAGCCCTTTCTCTATTCTTTTATCCATAGGTTAAAATAGGAATGAAGTGAACCTCATAGAATTCTGTCACTCTGTGCTGTGGGGAAGGAACCAGACATACACTTCAAAACTTGAAAAGTGAAAGGCTATTTTTCTTCATTATGTTATTTTATATTTTAATGGCCTTTTCTTGCTAGTGTCTTTAGGTCTTAATAATCAGACTACTAAAGCAAAGTTAAATATGCATGTAGTTTTCAAATTAACATTCAAAGGCCAAGGAAAATAAATATATACTATATATTTGAGGTTATGATAAATTTAAAAGTTAAGTCTATGTGGAAGGAAAAATGGAAATTCCAGGAAGATAAAACAGCAGAGGTACTGTCTGCCTCATTGGACACCTCTTTTACAAACACTTTGTGTAGCTTCTATGGGAACACATTGTTCATTTTTTTTTTCTCTTCTCTGAATCTTCTATTCACTATCCCTTTCTGCATTCCTCAATGTCTACACTCTCTCTACTAGAGAGTATTGTCGATGTCAGAGTATATGGTAGACATTTTATGCATTTATGGCTCTTTTATATTTTTACAGTTTTTTTAAACTGTATTTCCACTGTATTTGCATAATTAGGGTAAAAAGGATGTAATGAGTTAGTAGCAACTCATTACAGCAACTAGCATGGGTCCTTCTTATTGGGCAACTAAATAGTGTTACCCAAATTTAACAGCTGTCCACATAGAACACTTAAACGGGATTGAATGGCTGAGAAGGGGAGGCTAGCTATCAGGCTGTGTGTTTTCTTTTCTCCAAAGCTGCCGATTGGTGACTGAATGCAGCTTTGGACCATGCCCTGACACTGCATAAAGGGCTCTTTGGAGCCAGCTCTACTCTAAACAGCGTGCTCCGCTTTTGTTTTCTCCTTCATCTCAAACATATACCTGTCTCCTCTCCCATGTTACCTAAGGCAAAGAGAGTTGATAGGATTATAGTATCGTTAAGGCAACTTAACTTTTCTCACCATTTTAAATAAAATTACTATTAAAAATCCACAGGAAGAAAGTCTATGAAATTTGCAGTTTACTTTTTAATCAGATATTAAATTTCACTTCATTACTTCACAATTTAATTTTTTCAGTGTCTCTAAAAGAGAGGGATTAAAAGAGGAGAAAAAATGCAATTGACATTAATTTAGTTTTATTGGTTTAGCAGGTTTTTTTAATTATGTATTATTTAAAGATTTTATCAACTATTTTAATAACTCAGTGGAGATGTGCATACATATCTTCATAGTTCATATGATGAAACTGAGGTTAACAGAAAATGTGATAGATGTTCAAGTTCAGTAGCTTGATCTGTTTCCTTTCTGCTCTTGGTTTTGTTTGTTTGTTTGTTTGAGAGGGAGTCTCCCTCTGTCGCCCAGGCTGGAGTGCAGTCATGCGATCTCGGCTCACTGCAAGCTCCGCCTCCCAGGTTCACGCCATTCTCCCGCCTCAGCCTCCCTAGTAGCTGGGACTACAGGCGCCCGCCACCACGCCCGGCTAATTTTTTTGTATTTTTAGTAGAGACGGGGTTTCACTGTGTTAGCCAGGATAGTCTGGATCTCCTGATCTCGTGTGATCCGATCCGCCCGCCTCGGCCTCCCAAAGTGTGTTTGTTTATTTTTCCTCACATTTTTAGCTTAAGATATTTTGGAGAACTGCAGTTTTATCTCGTTAACTTAATGATGGCAAGTGACAGTGAAGCTTCTTGGTAATTGGGGAATTGGGGAAGAGATCTTTTGTGCTTTATTGGATTTAAAGGATTATTTTTCAAAAGTTACTGAAAGCAATAGGCACCTTTCAAGACCACCATGATGTTGCTGGAAATTATTTTGTGTAATGCCTTTTATTTTTTTAAGAAAAAAAAAACAGAACAAATTGCTTAATCTCTCTGTGGCTCAGTTTTGTCATCTGTAAAATCAGATGATAGTGAGTACCAACTAATAGTTGCAGTGATGGTTAAATTAATTATTTCATGTATACCCCTTGAAACAGTGCTTGGCACATACAGTGAGTTATTATTTTTAAAAATCGTTATTGATATTATTATTACTGTTGCTGCTATCCAGAAACATGTTGCCACTCTAATCATCCTCTTTCCTGATGTCACTTGGCTACTCAAAAATAGCAGCAGCTGGTGATTTTTTTACTTAACAAGTGCTAAGTCTTCTGCCTGAGTGTGAAAACACACTTAGACACTGTCCTACCTCTCATATGCCTCCCCAGCCAGAGCTGTTGTCCTGATCAGGTTTGTCACTAAACTCAAAAACATTCCTTCTTCCGTTTGTAATATTTTCTTTTCTCCCTTACATGTATTCAGTTCCACTTACCTTTCAATGAACAGCTGAATTCCACTTCCGGCATGAAACTCCCTCATTCTCACAGCTCCCGTTAATTACTGTAGTGTCCAAATTACTATGATAGAATCAACCCAATGACTGATGATCAAATGGATTCTGCATCTAACATTCAAAACAGTAGCTAATACCGATGTTCAAAGTTTGGAGGTTACATATCAGAAAAGGTTTTCTAAAAAAGAATCATTCTGAAACATGCAACTCAAGACTTACAGTATACACTGGGGGCTGTGTTTTCTCAGAAACAAAAGAGATCGTCTTCACAAATGAATCTGAACTTATTAAATATTTTATGTACCAAATTAATGATATAAAACCATAATTTTTCAATATTTAATTTTACCAATGATAATTGAGTTTGTTCAATACACTGGCTGATAATTGTAGGTACTTTTGAGTATCAAGGATGTACTTATTTTTCAATCACTCAATAGTTTGGAGTTCACTTGGAACAATGTGATGTAGAGACCAAATTAATTAGGTACGTGGTAGTACTGACTTTTAACGACTTACTAATTTTTTTTCACATTTTTCCTCAGAAAAAGATTGCCTCAATCTGGATAAAAACCTGATCAAATATGATTTGCAAAATTTAAAACCTTATACGAAATATGTTTTATCATTACATGCCTACATCATTGCAAAAGTGCAACGTAATGGAAGTGCTGCAATGTGTCATTTCACAACTAAAAGTGCTCGTAAGTTATATGTTTTAATGCTTCTTTCCATAAATGGTAAAAAGCAAGGTATGAACTTTTTAGCCTACAATATTTCTATCTTTATTCTAGCAAGCACATTTACCTGGCACATTTGTTAACATCTAGGGCTTATAAACACGTAAAATCTAAAAGTTTAAAAACCGTTATCCTGGATTCTCTCTCTTCTTCAGATATAGTCATAGAATTTTAAGGACAAAGCATAAAAGCATCTTAATTGGCATCAGTTTGTGCAATTTCATGCAGTTAAGTACTTAACCAACTTAGATTAAAACATTCACTGTTTGCTGTTGTCTTTACTATCTGGAAATATTAATTGTAATCAGAAACCTAACAATGTCTCATAAAGCATTAGCCTACTAACCTCTGTTCATCTGATAAAACATTTCATAAAATGTAATATTTTATTAGCATTTTCTTCTCTTCGTTACCCTCAACTACTTACTATTCTATTTTATGTCACATTATCCATTTAAGGTTTCCTTTCAATGGCATTTGGCTCTTGCCACTAGTATAATCTCTCCATAGTTTCCAGGCCCAAAGTTAGATCTGCTTCTGGGGCACATGTTAACCTCCATCGAGGACAGGGAAGAAGAAATGCCGTGTTTTAAGGCAGCATCTATAGCTCCAGAGACCCTAACGGGCACTAGACTTGTGAAGAAATATTGTGCTATTTGGGGCTGAATATAAGACACTTTTAAGGTCATTTAGGTTTTGGTTTGAAAAGTTCTGGTCCTGGAGCTCTATGCTTTTGTTGTTTTCCTGAGTTTCTGTATCACAGAAAAAGAAGACAATTTGTTTCTGTTCCTGAAGAACCCATCTAGGTGTTTACCAGGATAACATTAGCACTCCGGGAAAGAAGGGTCTAGATTGTGTAATAGGACTTGGAGGTTTCCCAATCAACAACATTTTTCCTCTCCTCTCCCCAAACTTCCCCCTCTTCCCCACTCCCTTCCCTTTTTCTCTATTCTCTAATTCTACACAGTCTCCTTCAGGGATTGCAATAACTCTCATGGCTTCATGTACAACCTATATGCTAATACTTACTGAATAAATGAGTGATTTATTCTTCAGGGTTTTGATATTGTTTTTTAATTTATGTACTATCATAACTTCCTTATTTATAACCCCCAAGCTAACACTTAAAATACTTTATACTATATCCAAGTATTGTCAAGTAATTTACATATGCATCTATTAAATTATTAATAACAAATCTTTCTTCATTTTGATAGCTCCAAGCCAGGTCTGGAACATGACTGTCTCCATGACATCAGATAATAGTATGCATGTCAAGTGTAGGCCTCCCAGGGACCGTAATGGCCCCCATGAACGTTACCATTTGGAAGTTGAAGCTGGAAATACTCTGGTTAGAAATGAGTCGCATAAGAATTGCGATTTCCGTGTAAAAGATCTTCAATATTCAACAGACTACACTTTTAAGGTAAAAGTATGCTCTCTACATTACTATAGTACCAACTACATTATAATGATTGATTCATAGTACTTAAATAACTTTAAGACCACTGCTCACATGAGATTGAGAAGCTCTGATGTGTAATGGAATCACACTTAAAGAGTCTCAAATATTTGACTCTAAAATTTTTATTCCTATAGCTCAAGTCAGTGGTTTAAAGCAAATGTTTCATTGGAATATTTTAGAACTTCAATATGACTTAATTATAGCTAAATTATTGCTTCTGTGTTAAGAAGCACAACACTTTATGCACAACAGATTATTACTTTACCAAATCTACCTTTTCTTTACTTTGGCTTTTTATCTTTATTAATGTGGAATTTTTCAATTGCAAAATTTCACAGGTACCTTGAGGTTAGGAAATATTTGAAATAAACACTAGACAATACTAGTGAGCATACAGAATTTAAAACACTCATTATCTCACTGTCTACTGATCGTATTTTGTACATGTAACTTCATAATATACACATTTATATGCACTTAACACGTATTATCAACATTCTGAGTACACAGTTTTCAAAATACAGTTTTAAAACTGTATTTTTAATATATCACTATATCACACACACCTTTCTATGTTAAATATTTAACTACTATGTAGTTTTTAATGCCTGTATAATATTCTATGTATGGCTTTATCACATTCTATTAACTATAACTATGTTGGTCTCTAATATAAACAACATTCCGATAACACACTTATTGGTAAAGCAAAATTTTTGAATGTCTTTAATAATTTATGTTTCATAAATTCCTAAAAATGCATTTATTGGGTCAAAATGTATTTTGAGGCTTTTTGGATATGTAACTTTTTTTTTCTATAAAATTTACCAAATTGCCCTGGTGTATCAGTGTATGAAATGACTGCTTCTTGAGAGGCTCACCAACACTGAATACGCCTTTCTTTTTCTTTATTTGGTGGTTGAAATATGGTATTGATATCTTTCTTTTAATGAAGTTTCTTTACTTATTGTTCTTTGTGTTATTCTTTGCCTCTTTTATCCAGTTTTCTCCGGAGAAATGCCTTGAATATTAATGATATTAAACTCTTTGTCACATGCGTAAAAATGTTATCAGTTTATAATTTGCCTTTTAGTTTTCTTCACAGCACTTTGTCTTACATAATTCCCCTTTTTATTTTTAAACAAATGTATCTGTCACTTTTATTCCTGTTAAATAGAAATTTCCATAGTTAATTTTTTAATATGATGTTGACAAACGGCCTCATATTCTTTTTTTGTTTTGTTTTGTTTTGTTTTGTTTGTTTGTTTTGTTGTTGTTTTTTGTTTTGAGAGGGAGTCCTGCTCTGTCACCCAGGCTGGAGTGTGGTGGCGTGATCTCGGCTCACTGCAACCTCCGCCTCCCGGGTTCAAATGATTCTCCTGCCTCAGCCTCCTGAGTAGCTGGGATTACAGGCACCTGCCACCACACCTGGCAAATTTTTGTATTTTCAGTAGAGATAGGTTTTCACCATGTTGGCCAGGCTGGTCTGGAACTCCTGACCTCAAGTAATCCGCCTGCCTCAGCCTCCCAAATTGTTGGGATTACAGGTGTGAGCCACCGTGCCCGGCCCATATTCTTTATCACTTAAAGAAGTGTTTTCATATTTATAAACTTTTTGATTTTGTTTTTGAACTGGAAATGTCGGTTGGATTTTATCGATTTTTAGGGCATTATGATAGATGATGCCATAGTTGTGATGCCCTGGTGTGATTAGTTTAAATGATGCAAAACCATTGTCACATTCTAAGAGAAAAACCCCTGCTCTGTCATTGTGTGTTATTCTCTCAGAGTATTATTGAAATCAACAGCCTATTATTGTCTTTATTAGTAGATATTCAAAAAGGAGATCATTCAGTGAGTAGAGACGGTGTTGGCATAGGCGTTGGATGACATCATTCTTATTAAATTTGGTATAAAGGTTACACTGATCTGATAAAACACATTGCTTATATGTTCCTGTTTTTCTGTATCATATAACTTTTTAAAAAAATTTTATTATTATTTTTTGAGAAAGAGTCTCGCTTTGTCACCCAGGCTGGAGTGAAGTGGCGTGATCTCGGCTCCTGCAACCTCCGCCTCCCAGGTTCAAGCGATTCTCCTGCCTCAGCCTCCCAAGAAGCTGGGATTACAGGCATGCACCACCATGCCTGGCTAATTTTTGTATTTTTAGTAGAGACGGGGGTTCACCATGTTGGCCAGGCTGGCCTAGAACTCCTGATCTCAAGTGATCTGCCCACCTTACCTCCCAAAGTGCTGGGATTACAGGCGTGAGCTACTGTGCCAGGCCTATATTATATAACTTTAAATAGTATAGGAGTGATTTGTTCCTGAAAAATTTGTCTTCATTCCTTTCATGCAGAGAAATTCTTTAAGACTCATTTATATCTTCTTTCAATAGGATTAGTCTTTTCAGATATTTTACTCTTTTTGAGTGAGTGTGCTATATATATTTTTTCAAAGAATAGTCAACCTAAAAGAAATATTTTCTTATTGTCACATCATTGTGTATTATACTTCATTCCCCACTGCTTCTCCAGTGCCCATTAAGCTCCAGGTGCACTGGTTTCTCTATAATTTCTCAGAGGCACCTAGGTGTTACTCTTTTTAGCCACCTCCCTCCACGCTCTTCCCACTTCCTAGAATATGCCTCTCCCACTCTTCAAATCGTATAAGTTACTATGGAAAAATATAGGTGTACATCATATTAAAATACAACCTTAACGTTCAAAGTAGGAGATAATTATTCAGTTTCGAATTCTCTTCCCCCAATCTTCAAAAGATGGTTTTTGTTTTCTTTATTATACTTGCCATACCTTCTTATTATGCTTATTTCTGTCTCCACTATCATGTTTTGTGTTCACTCCTTCATGAGAGAGCAGTCATTTCAGCTTTTTCACCATTGTGATCTCTGGTTAATAAATTAATGAAGTTGATTTATTAGTATTACTTTTCCATAGATTTATTTTGATGCTCTTCAGGTGGCTTTCGGATTAAAAGTGTTTTCTTCCTTGTAATTTTTTTTCATTTTTATAAACTAAAGGGAAAAAAAAGGCTATGGATTGTACTTTGGTAAAATTTTGACTGTAACCCATGTCTATATCGTTTGTCACTAATTTCTGAAGGCCTTCACATGAAATGTAATCAATGATTCTTAAAGTAAAACATTTTGATTATTGATGATTTCTAATGAGTCTGTAGTTATAATTTGGAAGAGTTTTTAATATATCCATTATTTAAGAGAGTTTTTCTACATTTCTGGTGCTTTAATTTCTTATTGCTACTAATTATTAGCTGATAAAAGTTAATTGGCTTTTACAATTTCTGCCTTTTAGGATTTGTAGAATAATTTTTACAGCTCTATGTGTGATATTTATGAATATTCTGTGAATATTGGGTAAATTATATATTCTCCATAGGATAAAAGCTTAGATATATATTTGTCAGATTTATTATATTTATTATTATTCTCTTTTAATGATATTATTCAAATATATTTTACTTAAATTTTTTTGGTCAAGGATTCTTACTGCTCTTTTGCTCTTTTCATTTTCCCTGTATATGTAAATTGTTTTCACTTCATTTGTATTACATTTTATGAGACACAGGTGTTTATGCATTATGCCTATATAGTAAATTTTACTATATATCCATTTGCCCTTAAAAAAATGTATGTGCATTTTATGCATAATTCTAGTAAACAGCTTATGGTTGAATTTCCTTTTTTAATTAAATATTAGCCTATTAATAGGGAATTTTAACTTTATGAATATTTTGATGTATTGGATTTTATTTCTTCATCCAGTTTCATTATTTTAAATAATTATTTAATAATTGTTTAATAACTATAAATATTTTTATTGCTAAGTGAGATAAGATATCTTTTTGATTGTCTTTTCAAATATATTTGACAACATACTGACATAACCTTGAAGTTTAAAGCAAATCAGCATACTTTTATTGTATGCATGGTATGAAAGATAATATAAATGTTTTACATTGTGATATATAATATATATATATATATAAATTCACATTAGCAAACTAATTATTTTATTTTTTGTTACTGAAATTCAGGCCTATTTTCACAATGGAGACTATCCTGGAGAACCCTTTATTTTACATCATTCAACATCTTGTAAGTTATCACTGGGCTATTTATTATATATATTAAGATATATATTAATGCTTATAAAGCTATATTATTTTACACTTATAATCACATTTGATTGTTAAATGCTTAAATAATATCTCTTCCGTAAATGTAATATTTTTAATTGTCAGTAAAACCATACATATATATGTAAATATATTTAAATACAATATCTTAAATTCAAGTTAGGAGATTCAATTATTAAAGGTTTGTTGAATTCATAAGAGGATTTATATACCCAAACTATTAAATTATGTTTATGTTTATGAAATATCGTCATGTTAGTAACATTTTTCGTGTACTATTTTAGATTATCTATTTTATTCTGTCTCTTCAGCATATGTTTAGCAGAAGTGGGCCTTAGATACAAGTCTGTCTTGATTTACTTAATGGAAGCTAATATAAGCACTCCCTAATAACAATATACTTATGTAAATATTTATCACTGATATTTAAAATATTTTCATCAAAGTAAAGGTGTACATGAAAAATTACTTAGAATTAAATTTCATTATAATAATGAAAATAACAGCTGCATGTTACATTCCCCACCCACAATTCTGTTTGCCAGGCAACCACTTTTAACCATTTCTATTTTTGGGTCTCCTTATAGTTTCCTTCATATATATATATATATATATAAACAATATTGTATACTGCTCTTTCTAGAGTTACTAACATTACCAATTGATCTGAGCCTATGGAGGAAGGAGACCTAGTACTCTACTTTGGGCTTTCTCTACTGGTTAACATTGTAAATAGAATTATTTAAGCCTGTATGTACTTTGTTGTCAGCAACTTCTAGGTCTTTCTATCTTTGCCACTTCTAGTTCTTCCTCTCTTACATATGTTACATATGCACATATGCATGTGCACAATCACTGGTATGAATGCAAAGTCAAAAGAGAAAATATAAAAACAGCTTATTTTCCAAACTGCTTTACTAAGCCCTCTGCAAAGTTTTAGTTCTTTCTGCTCAGATTTATGAAATAAAAACTCCCTGTGTTAAATGTCAAAAAAGTCCAGCAAGATAGCTTTGATTTTATTTCCACATTACCTTTTTCTTTTATAATATCTTTATAATAAAAATGACTTCATTGACTCTTTCCTATTAAATTGTAAATAATTTATAGCAGTCATAGACTCAGCTGAACATTCACACTCACATCTTAATAGGCCAGATCTGAAACATTTCACCTGGAAAGACACAGAACAAAAAGCACAGCATGCTAGCAAGGGAGCCTGGCAGTGGGAATCCTTGCAGCGGGAATCCTTGCAGCAGTGCACACAGCAATCCAGCTACTTTTCTTATGACACTCTCAAAGACAACTGAGATATGAGAGAATGAGACCACATGTGTAGGTGTAGGAGCTGCATTCCAAAAGGAATCAGTATCTCTTATACTATTTCCATGGGCATAGCTTCCAGACATGCCAACAGGGGTGTGCTCAGTTATGAGCGGGCACTGCACTCAGGGAAACCCAAAGCTGGTACTTCCCATGAGGACAATAGAGTTCACATATAGCACTCCCTGTTCAGGTGTAGTTTAGCAATCAAGGGTCATTTTGCCATTAGCAATGTTGTCTGGTAACCAGCTAATATTCCACTTTTATCAGGTTTCCAGGTCAACGGAGCCAAAAAATTAGCCCTCATCTTTTTCCACAAAGGAGACAACATTGTATTCACTCTCTGCTCACAATATCATTATCCTAAGAGATAAATAATATAGTTTCTTTTAAAATAGTGATATCTGTTCCAGGAAAGGACTTGGGCTGTGAATTGCTAGGGTACAGCTACTAGGGATGTGTTGTTGGGTTTCCCCGGCATAATATTCCACCACCTGTACTTTGACATCATTGTCAATTGAACTCCTGGGGACCCTTTCTTCTTGCTCTGATCTGGACTCTCACATGCCATCTTGAAATATTCCCCCATCAGTTTTCTGGTTTAGATTTGCTGTATCACACATAGTTATTTTTTTTTCTGTCTGAGTTCACTGATATATGTTCTCTAGTGTAAGAAAAATAATTCTAATTCTCCCATACAAAAAAAATTTTTATTCTGCTCTGGCACTTGTTCAGTGTATCGACTTGGTATAAAATTCTAAGTTAAAAATTTTAGAATTTAAAAATTATTTCTGTCTTATTTTCCTGAATCCAATTTTACTTTCTAATTCCATCCTGATTCTCTCTCTCTCTCTCTCTCTCTCTCTTTTTTTGGTCTGTTCCCAAGTTTTCCTCCCCTGGAAATGCTAGGTTTCTGTCTTTATTCTTGGTCTTACCTGAATTTTTTGTTTGTTTTGTTTTGTTTGTTTTTGTTTTTGTTTTTAGAGGGAGTTTCGCTCTTGTTGCCCAGGCTGGAGTGCAGTGGCATAATCTCGGCTCACTGCAACTTCTGCCTCCTGGGTTCAAGTGATTCTCCTGCTTCAGCTTCCTGAGTAGCTGGGATTACAGGCAGGCACCACCACACCTGGCTAATTTTTGTATTTTTAGTAGAGAAGGGATTTCACCATGTTGGTTAGGCTAGTCTTGAACTCTTGATCTCAAATGATCCACCTGCCTTGGCCTCCCAAAGTGCTGGGATTACAGGTGTGATCCACTGTGCCTGGCCCTGAATCTTTTTCATTCATTTTTTCTGGATGCTATTGACCTTTGTAACCTGAAGATTTATATATCTGAGAATTC